>NC_000016.10:60320075-60623106 GCF_000001405.40 Homo sapiens | reverse complement strand
GTGCATCTGAAGAAATGGCCACCTTTTCGGGCCTTTGCTATTGTTCTTTGGTGGTGATATAGTTTCAATATTTAGTCTAGCCTGGAAATCTGGATGGATCAGCTAGTAACAAGGCAAACCTTGCTGTTGGGTTTTCCAGTTGTACTGGGCTACAGCCTGTGCTCTGAGGTCACGTGGAATTGCTGGCTGTGCTCCATGGTCTGGAGGGACCACTGGCTGGACTCCATAGTCAGGCAGAGATACTGGCTGGGTTCTGTAATTACCTATGATTGGGCAGGGTTGCGGGACAACTTCCTTGGCTAGGCAGTGCTGCTTTTTGAAATCTGTAGTTTGCTGGGCTTCTACATTAGGCAAAGTCTTTGAAGTTGCTGCTTAGCCACTCATGATAGTTAGAGCCAGAGTTGCTACAGATATGCATGGACATAGGCTTGTCTCCCAGACTGGGAAAGTCTAAGGCAGAGCTCCAAGGCCTGATGAGGTCAGCACTCCGTACTGAGTTTGGGTAGGGCCAGATATCTCTGTTCACAGATATTTAGACCTGTGCTTGCCTCTCTGCCTGAGAAATACTCAATCAGAGCACCAGAAATGGATGAGGAAGCCAGCTAGGCACCTGAGCCTGGCAGACCTGTCTACTGTGCTTTCTGCAGATCAATGTTGTTGGCCAGGTGGGATTTCCTGGTGGGATTGTGTTGTTTCTCTGGTGAGATTCCTCTGTTGGCCAGAATGCAGAGCTACTACCAACATCCATTCTCTGGTCACTTTGAGCTCCACCCCTGCTCTTTGTTTCTAACTGACCCCAGGTAGTCTAGCACTACCAATACCCTTAATGTTCCCCATGAGACAGGACAGAAATAGGTCTCTTGCAGAGGATTCCAGAATGGTGGGGAAGGTAAATGGCTGTCTCTGACTCTCTTTCTCCACTGTTGAAGTCGTGGGCCAAGGGGAATCATCTTTGTGTGATGCTATGCCAGCTTGGAGGAAAGGACAACACAAGCCAAGTGAAACTGTTTCTCTTACTCTTCAAATGCAGCTTTTCTCAGTTCCGTGGTCCACTCTCAAGTTCTGATACATCCATGAGGATATTCTTATCTGTGGATAGTTGCTAGGTGGACTTCTGTGAGGAAGACTAGAGCCAGAGAACTTTTATTCTGCTATCTTGCTGACATCACTCTCCCTGGGCTTTCTTTAAAAAAAAAAAGTGAAAATATTGACCTATCAGAAATGAATAAAGTTTGGCTTTATAAACACTATGTATCTGACAGTAGTTTTTTATTGTTATGTTGCTTGTTTATTTGTTTGTTTCCCCTTCCTCTTGGTATTGACTTACACAATAATAAAAACACATGTACTAACACATAAACTTGTGTGGTAGACAAATTTCAAACCCCACCCCTCAAGATGCTCAAGTCCTAATCTCAGGAACTTGTGAATACATTTCCTTTCATTGCCAAAAACTTTGCACGTGTTATTTTGAATTAATCAGGTGGACCATCTAATCCATAAGTCTTTGAAAGTGGAGAACCTTTTCTAGCTGTAGTCAGTTGGTGATGCCATTGCAGAAGGAAGGTTTAGAAAGATGCAATGTTGCTAGCTTTGAGGACAGAGGAAGGGGGATATGAGACAAGAAAAGTGAGTGGCATCTAGAACAAGAAAAGCCAAGAAAATGGATTCTTCCCTAGAGCCTGCAGAATGCAAGAGAAAATGCAGTCCTTTTAATACCTTGATTTTAGCCAATGAGACCCATGTCAAACTTGTGACCTACAGAACTATAAGTTAATAAGTGTGTTTTAAGTTACCAAGTTTGTGGTGATTTGTTACAAAAGTAATAGAAAACCAATACAGTTGATCAACATTTAACTTTTTATATTTTATATTCAGGCATTGATATCTTGTCTTCTGAAAAATGAAAGCGTCTAATAATACTTTACTCATATCCCTGATGGAAACAACCAGATGGAGTTGAATCCTTTTAAGCAGGTTCATGAGCACTGAAATCACCAAACACTCTTTCCAAAAATTGTGCCCAGAAGTCTCACACACTAATATAACCTGAAGTATTGCTGGAATTTAATTCTGAATCCTCTGCTTCAGCTATTGTTACCAACTTAAAAGTGTGAACAAGGTAATTGGTTTATTACCCTGTGAAAGCATGTTTGGAAAAATTAAATGAGCATCAAGGATAAGAAATGTCTGAGAAGGAAAATTCAAAAGCACTTGAGATAATATATAAGGTCACTTTGTTCTGTTTGTCAAAATATTTATTTTTCATGATTTCTACCAAGCAAACTATTCTTACTCCCAAACATCCCTCTGGTGTGACAGGGTGGTTTGCACTAGTCATGTTGAAATAGTTTTAACATCTCTTGAACATGCTATGCCATTTTCTGCCTTATTATTTTTGAATGTGTCCTTTACTCTGCACAGAATGTTATTTCCTTTCTTTTATTCTTGCCAGACTCCTTGGTCTTCACTGAAGACAAGACAAAGCTTCAATGCTAGATATTCTCCAGGAAGCAGTACCATGACACCTGAGTTTGCGCCTTAGTTTTTCCACTTTTCTTACTTATCAGTGAGTGTAAGACTCAAGTAATAAGATTAAATAAAAAGCAGACATTATTAAAACTTGTTTACTTGTAATTACTTTATTACATTCCCTTATGCATTCTTTGATTTGTTTATTCATAAATATTTATTGAGCATTTTATATAGGCTAGATATCATAGAAGGCACTAGTGACATAGTTCTGAAAAAATAAGTATAATTATCTGGAGCTTAAAGCAGAATGCTCCAATTCTTTCTCTCCTATCTTCCATCTTTATAACCACAGTGTTTATCACTGTACCTAAGATAAGAGACTCCTAATAAATATTTGAAAGAAGAACAGAAGAATGAGCTGGGAGATAGGGAGAAGGGTAAAGGAAGAGAGAAAAAGGAAGAAGTAGGAGAAATAGTAAGAAATAAGAAAAGTAGAGGAAACAGGAAGAGACAAAGTCAGGGAGGGAGAAGCCGAGGAAGAAAAGGAAATGAGTTCCCTGCATACCAAGTTCTCCCAGCCAAAATTTGGGCTAGACCCGGCCTTGAGGAAAGAGGAATAAACAAGAGTCTATAGAATATGCATAGCTGTCATCTTGACAGAAATTCATTTTTATTTAATGTAGACTATCAAAGACTCGATGGTGCAGTATTTCACAAACTTTCCCACTGAATTATTCTAATAGCAGAGGGGAGTGAATGAGAACCTCCAGAGGCTCTCAACCAACAAGAAAAGTAAAACTTCTTTTAAGTCTCTGGATTTATTTGAAAACTTCATGCATATTTTGTATTCCACTTACAATAAGGCCGTGTCAGTTTAAACATAGAAAACATTAGTTTTCTCTCAAATCTGTTAGTAAAATGTATGCTTTGGGAAATTGCATCCATAGTTACTGCACGGCTGCCGCTGCAGCACCACCCACTCTGCAGTAACAGACATATGCCAGCTTGCCAGGCATGCAACATGGAACAGTGTGGGTCAACGGTCTCTGAGCATAACACTCACAACGATTGTGACTGGAGACAATGAATGTGACTTCTTGCCACAAAGCTCATACTGGGGACAAATGTCCACACTGGAAATCAACTGTTCGTACTTTATATTCCCGGAGTCCTCCAAGCATGTTAAAGCAGCAATTACTATTTAAGAAGTTCCATTTTAGCTGTTTCTAAATCAGTTAATAATATGTATTTTCCTTTTAATATCCTTCTGAGGAGACTAAAGTACCTCTTATATAATTTTATTAATCTACACAACATTGCCTTTTCAAAGATAGGCTTTTTCATCACTTAAATTTCCTTATTTTATACTAAGTTAAAATCTAATATCAAGCAATTCTCTTGCTTAAGTAATAGCAATGTTTATAATTGAATGATCATTAGAGTTTGCGCTTTAAATCGGAATATTTTGCAATTAAGTTAATACAATACAATAAAAGGGCCTTTAAATTTTTAACTCATGCATATATATATATACATATGTATATATGTGTGTGTGTGTGTGTGTATATATATACATATATATATACACACACATATGTATATATATAGTGGTCTCTGGGTGTCCATGAGGGATTATTTCCAGGAGGATCAAGCCTCTGATATCAAATGGTGTAGTATTTGCATATAACCTACACACAACCTCTTGTATTCTTGAAATCATCTCTAGACTACTTATAATATCTAATACAATGTAAACGCTTTGTAAATAGTTGCTATACTCTATAGCTTAAGGAATAATGTCAAGGGAAAAAATCGGTGCATGTTTAGTACAGATTTAATAGCTTTTAGAATATTTTCAATCCAATGTTGGTGGAATTAGCTGATGAGGAACCCATGAATGTAAAGGCCAACTGTGTGTGTGTTTGTGTGTGTGTTTGTGTGTGTGTGTGTGTATTAGCTGATGTGTATATATACACATACATATATATGTGTATATATGTGTATGTACACATACATATATATGTGTATATATATGTGTATGTGTGTATATGTGTGTGGTGTCGGTTGTTCCATAAAAATGCAATGTGAAAAATGTAAAAAAAGAATCAAATGATTTATTTAGTACTACATTATTACTTCTTCCCATTCTAGCACTCTCCTACCCTATAATTAATTCAACATTTTTAGGTAAAAATAAATACATCATTGCTTATTACAATCAACAATATGTACATACATATATGTACACACACATCTTTTTTAAATGTATGGATAAATTTTTAGTAGTAGAGTTCTCATTTATTAGGAAAGACCAGTTCTTGGTGTAATAACTTATATAAATTAGTGTGTAAGTATGGGAGCATGTGTAAATTAATACAACATTTCAATTAATCATAATATGTAAAGAGTTAATATTGATATTATGCTCAAATGAATGTATTATATACCTGAGATCCTATTACAACCCCTCTTTATTATGTGTTTACTTGAAAGCTTTCTAAACTATTGGAGAAAAGTCTTCCAAAAGACTTCTGGAATCATTCTTTCCCAATAGTCAAATAACTCTTAGCCTGGAAGTTGCTTTTGTTCAGGGTGTTTTGTAAAGTCACCACACAAAGAGAATGTGTAAGTAGCAGGCGTTTTCCAGTGTATGACATGAAAGAGAGCACGTCCCTAACCTATTAAAACTGCTTAAACATGTTGAAAAGCCAATAAAAGACTGTATATTTAGAATAATAGAATTATTGTGATTTTTTACTTTAAAATAGGAGTAAAGGGTTATTAACATCTCTGTCTGAAATTAATATAATAATCTCAGCTTTCACATAAAAAGGTGCTCTGTCCAATACAATTTACACAGCAAATATTTATTAAACTTCTACACTATTTTAGAGTGTGATGATACAACACTCATCCAGATAGAAGACAACATCAACAACAAAAAACGTACCCTTCCTTTTGGAGCTTATGGTCCAGTGCATTAGGTAGTAATCATTGTTTATTGCTGAACTCCTGTGAAGGAAAACACATACACCCACTCCTTGAAAAAGAAAATGCCTAAACCTACTACTCTCAATCTTGCTCCTTGAAGTACATCTGAGAAGTTGTTTCTGGTTTTTGGCTGTAAGCAACACTCTGGTTATTGGCTATAAGCAATATATGCAATATAGACAAGAGAATATTAATGTCTAGGATGAATGTAAAGGCTGTTATGTCAGGGATAGTGTCCTCCAGAATACCTACCAATGAGATGACTAGAAGGACTCACAGAACTCCATGAAGCTGACTCCCCCAAAGGTCAAACACGTACCCCAGAGCCCAAAGTGCCCACTGTAGGTCACTGTTACTGACATAACTGCCTAAGACCCCAGTTACCGGAGGACACTCTTATCAGGAACAGTCATGGTATTCTAAAGATGTATGCATTAACTTCTAGGAGCCAAGTAAGGCCAGACCTGTCTTTGGAATGTTCAGGTTCTGAACATGGCAAACCTGCTGTGTCAACCGTTTACTGCACAATGCATTCGTTTCTCTGGGAATAAATGCTGGGGTGTTTGAGTTGCTTGTTTGTAGGGTACTTGGACATCGTTGTTTGCTTGTTTGTTGTTGTCTGGAAAAGGCCACACTGTTTTCCAGAGTGGCTGGACCATTATATATGACCTTCACCAATATGCGAGTGACCTGGTTTCCCCAGAACCACACCAGCCTTTGATTCTTTTCTGATATTTTGTTTAAGGCATTCTGATGAATGTGACCTGTCTCACTATGATATTAATTTACATTCCCATGATATAACTAAGATATTGTCATCTACTTATTTGCCATCTTTTATGTCCTCTTTTTTGATGAAACGCCTGTTCTATGTCTTTGGTTTATTTTGTAATCATTTTTTTTCCTTTAGATAATACAGTTGTGTTTGGAGACTTCCTCACACCTTCTTGTCAGATGTATGATTTGCAAATATTTTCTTCTGGTATTTACTTTCTTGTTTTATCCAGCTAAAAGGCTATTTCACAGAGTTTGGGTTTTTAATTTTGATGACTTTCCAGCCTCCCGAAATGTGAGAATGAATGTATATTGTTTATAAACACCCCCAGTCTATGATATGTTGTTACAGCAGCCTGAACAGAGTAAGGCAAGGTATAAACACAGAACTGCTGAACTAAACACAGCAGCATGTGATTTACAGCAATTCTGTGCAGGTTGATATCTCTTCATCTGAGTCTATGTCACATTTAAAATGTACTGCACTACTTTTAACTTATTAGTTGAATAAGTAATCAAATTCAGCCTTTGAATTATACAAAGAAAAAATAAAATGATCATAGACTTTGATTCTCAGAAATGTTTTTTGCACTTCCCACCAAAAGCCTCATTTACCCCAAAATAGTTTGCTGACTCAAGAAATAAAAGGCCTTGGTTTGCTTCAAATTCGATTTTGTTAATGAGACACATGCTTTGCATTTTAAAGTAGCAGCCGTGGTGTAGGTTGTTTCATAAAAGTGCAACATGAGAAATGTAAAAAAAAAATCAAACTATTTAGTACTACATTATTACTGCTTATCATTCTAGCACTCTCCTACCTTACAATTAACTCAACATTTTCAGGTAAAAATAAATACATCATTGCTTATTACAATCAACAATTTGAGGGACTTTGCTCATAACAGTTGGGTGAAGACAGTTCTTCTTGGTACTTTGTAAATCAAAAATAAAATGCTAAGCCCCAAAACTGACCAAATGGATCTTCCTTTTGGTCAAGGGGACCCTAGAGATTGTGACTTTGTTTTAATTTCTTCTTCTGATTATACCAGACCCTATCAATTATAACAATTACATACTTATTCAATATTTTCAACTGGTATAACAAGTACTTCGTGTGGGAATAGAAAAAAGATACAGTTCCAACTCTGAAAGGGCTCAGAGTTGAATAGCTATAGCAGAGAACAGAAACTGCAACACTTTCTATAAGTGTTCTCATTGTACCATGTACAGTGGGCTGAGGACAGAGAGTACAGAGGGTAGATACCCAATTCAATTTTTACCTTTTCTTCCAATAATATGTAATACTCCCTGATCAAGATGGTTTTAAAGAACACTCTGAGATGGAAGTGGTGCTACACTTTCAAAGGTTGCTTGCTTTATGTTGGTTTTTGACAATCAAAACTAGGTGTAAAGGCAAGCAACAATAGTAAAAATATGAACAATGAGCATACCAAGTACATATATGTCCTGTAAATTACTTTATTTCATTGTTTTAACAACAGCTCTGCAAGGCAATTGCCATAGTTTAGTCTCTCTTTTACAATGAAGCAGGGAGGTAAACAGAGGTAAGTCATTTTCCAAAGGTCACAGAGCCATTATGGCAGAGCCAGGCTACAGGCCAGTTGGGTCAACCTTCGAGCCCACACTTTTAGCTATTGCTCTACCTTTCTGCTAACAAGGGGGTGAGGATGCAAAAACCATTATTCAGGAGGAGACACATAAATTACGTCTGCTTATCTCCATGTTAGACACCCTGAGAGTATCTGAGCTGGTGAGGGTCATGGTTAAAACATTTAAATACTGCAATAGAACAAAATATTTATCCCATGCAAGAGACATTTATGTGATTCCACATAATATACTTAGGAGTGAAATATTAAAGTTATAAGAGGCAGAATTGACTTAATAATAATGGGATGCATTGATTTTTAAAAATCTCCTCCATCATTATTTGGTAAGCCAGTACTAGATGACCAAAATTGCAAGTGGTGTGCCATCCACCACAATCATATGGCCGACCCCAGTTAATAGATTTCAGTGTAAAAATGTTAAAGAAATACAATAACATAAAGTAACATTGGTTAGAAAGCTTCACCTGAGGCCAGGCACGGTGGCTCATGCCAGTAATCTCAGCACTTTGGGAGGCTGAGGCGGGTGGGTCACGAGGTCAGGAGTTCAAGACCAGCCTGGCCAAGATGGTGAAACCCCCTCTCTACCAAAAATACAAAAATTTACCGGGTGCAGTGGTGGGCGTCTGTAATCCCAGCTACTCAGGATGTTGAAGCAGGAGAATCACTCGAACCCAGGAGGCAGAAGTTGCAGTGAGCTGAGATCACGCCACTGCATGACAGAGTGAGACTCCATCAAAAAAAGGAAGAAAGAAAGAAAGAAAGAAAGAAAGAAAGAAAGAAAGAAAGAAAGAAGAAAGAAAGAAAGAAAGAAAGAAAGAAAGAAAGAAAGAAAGAAAGAAAGAAAGAAAGAGAAAGAAGGAAAAAAAAAAGAAAGAGCAAGCTTCCCCTGAAATGAAAATGAACTGCAAAAGCGACTTAAATATTTCTGGTCACACTATGGCCTTGAGTTACCCATAGAAGGGTACATCAGTAGAGCATGCTCTTGAGTGTCCTCTAAGAAAAAAATAAAAAAGAATGTTGAAAATGATTGATCACAGATTTTAATAGATCTAGTTTTTCTGCTGCTTACAAGTTACACAGTTTCTGAATCTCTGTTGTTTTTTTTTTTTTTTACCAGAAATACAGGAAAATAAGGACTATTTTTCAGAAATACCATACCGATACAAGTTAATTCACACATAGACCTTCTTCAGTATCTGGTACATGGTACATACTATGTATTTTTATTTTATACATGTCAATGAATAGCATACCACATACTCACAGTTTTTCAGAGTTGAGCAATGAAAGAAAGATACACTTACTGGCACAAAGCCATCATTAATTTTGTTAACTTGTTTTTAATAGACTTTGTGATTTTTGTAAATTTGTTATAGAAAGTTATAGAGCAACTGTATCAAATATGAAAAAAATGCTGAAGACACAAAAGCAACCACTGTTAACATGGCACTGTATACCTCGCCAGATTTTATGATACAATGATCTCTTTTCCCAATGCAAAGACTTCATTTATTCCTGGTCTGCTAAGTGCTGTAAGCATGGTCTTGTGTAATGATTCAGACGTCTTAATCTTCACCAAACTGGAAATGTCTGTCACTGGAAATGGCCCTTGTATCTCTGAAGTCACAAATTATACGTGTGCATTTGATTTAATTTTACAAATTCAAGAAATCTAGGCAGCATCAATAAATAACCTACTGCTATGATTTGAATGTTTTTGTTCCCTCCAAACTTTTGTTGAAACTTAACCCCCAATACAACAGTATTGGGAGGTGTGGCCTTTTGGGAGGTGTTTAGCTAATGAGGGCTCTGCTCTCTTGAATAGATTAATGTCTCTATAAAAAGAGCTTGCAGTGGTGAGTTCTCCCTTCTCTGCTCTTCTTTTATGTGAGGACACAGCATTAGCTTTCTCTTGCCCTTCTATCTTCCACCATGTGAAGATGGGAAAGAAGGTTGTCACCAGATACTAGTACCTTGATCTTGAACTTCCCAGCCTCTAGATCTGTGAGATGATAAACTTCTTTTCTTTATAAATTACCCAGTTTCAGATATTCTGTTATAGCAGTACAAAATGGAATAAGATGCCTTCAAAGAATGTAGTTCATGGTAAACCAGGAGTTTTCTTTTATACACAAGACTGAAAGACACTGGTGGAGTAGTGAAAGGAAGTGAATTTCTTTGTTAAGCCACCAAATAGACTTCATTTTTGAAACCCTTGTATTCAGGTGAAAGATGCAGGCAACAATTATTAACTAGCTTGAGGATTTTCTCCACTAAACTTATACAAGTGCCCTCTTTTCTTTCCATCTAGATTTATTTTCCTGAATAGGGCCATAAAAAATAGAATTATATGTGTTAGTTATTTGCATTCACATCAAATGGTTCAAGGGCGAATAGAAAACTCTGTCTATGCTACTTCACATTGCTTATTACTGAGGTGCTAATTCCTCCATCAGCATAAAAGATTATAATTATCTCTGGATTTCTTCACTGCCATATAACTCCCAGATACATACCACTGGTGTCATGTATATTTTATTAAAACCTCACCAAGCATCAGCAAATATAACTATTCGTACTTCTAGAATTTTATATTCATGTTTATCCACAATGGGTGAAAGCAGCATGCAAAATAAATGAAGAATGATACCACAGATGTCTTTAGAGAGATATTAGAAGAGAATCAGCAGAGAGGGTTATGAAAGTTGTATGAGCCATATATTATCTATGCATATGTTACAATGGTCAGAACATTTAGTATGTCATGCTCCATACCAGTCCCAATAATATATTTGGCCCATAATGAAGTTCTAGCTTGGGGTGGAGAAGTAAGCTCCACATTTATTGTTATTTTTAAAAATGAGTTTGTCTTTAAACGTACTGTTCACATGAAAAGTCTCAGCACATTTTTACAATCATTTGAAACCAGCCCTTGGTATAGAAACATCAAACGTCTTTGCTCTATTTCAATGTGTGAGCATTAGCATAGTTTTCTTAGCTTGAGTAGGGCTCAATTTCCTAATGCCATTCATATTCTTTTTTGTCACAGTGTTACTAATGAATATTGGAGCTGAAGACAGAAAATAAAGTGCCCAAGACAAGGTCAAGAAGTTAAAACAGTAGCATATTAAAAAATGCCCATAAAAATGTTTCTTTGAGCCCAGGAGTCATACAGTGAAGTGGAAGATGAAGAGGCCCCTTTCACTTAGAATGGCATTTTTTTTTTCTAATTAGCAAGTGTCAAAAAGGGCTGAGGGGAAAAAATGCATGATGATATTTCAGGCAATGCAATGAAGATGCTATTCAGGGAGTGCAAGGTTAGCAAATCTGTAAGGGTATTTACACACATTTATTTTACTATTATTTTTATGTCTTTGTCCCTGTGTGAATATAAAGGATATGGTTTTGTAGAAACAGAAGGTCAGACTTGGAAAGGAATTAGACATAGTTTAGTCTAGTCTCTTCATTTATAAAGATGAGGCCAACTGCAGTCCAAGAAGGTCAAGGGAATTGCGTAAGTTCACATAACTAGAAAGAGTAGGAATGAGGAAAGAGATGTGTTGCCCAGTGTCATCCTTCCCATTTTGTTCTATGCTGTGACTGAAATGACTCATGAGTCAAGCAAATATACTTCAAATATGATACCTTGAAAATTTCATAGGCCCCATCACTTATGACAAATGGTTTCAAATATCTCAACCATTTCTTGACTGAATTCTAATATGTGGACTATGTAGAAAAGTAGCAGTAATATGGTAACAGATTAAATGCTTGGCCGTGGCACTGGCGTTAGATGTTCCTAATTTCAAATCCAAATCCGTAACTTCTATTTATGTGACCTCAGACAAGTTAATTGATTTCTCTGTGACTAGCCTGTCATATTTAGAAAATTTAAGTGATAAGAGTTCCAAACTCATACAGTTATTTCGATGGTTAATTGAGTCCACAGGAAGTATTTAGCAAACTGTCTAGTCCAAAGTTAGTCCTCAATGTATGTTAGCAGCCATTGTTATAATTTATTAATCTTAATGATAATAAAGAGATCTTGCTTAGCCTTGCATCTAGATTCAGCCCGTTGGACTCATAAATTCATCTACCTTCTACAAGAGCACAGTTTCCATCTTCAGACAATGAAGAGGCATAAGAAGAGAGTGAGCAGTTCTCATGTCATAAGGAAACACAACCCAAAGCATTCACTGTCTTGTTGTCTTCAAAACACATAGGCAGATGGTAGGTTTTGACATTTTGGATTCCAAATCCTGCAGCCTTGTAAAGTTCAATCAAATGAAAATCACATTGTAAATTATGGCTCAGGGAGTCAATAATTTGGCCATAGTTAAAATGCATTTGTTAGTTCAAACCAAATAACCCTGGAAAGACAATCACTAAACTAAATACTGTTTTTTCTTTTTCTTTTTTTGAGACAGGCTGGAGTGCAGTGGCATAACTCCCTGCAAACTTGAACTCCTGGCTCCAAAGATCCTTCCACTTCAGCCTCCCAAGTGGCTGTAACTACAAGTGCAATGCATGCCACCACGCCCGGCTAATTTTTAAATTTTTGGTAGATATCGGTTCTTGGTTTGTTGCCTGGTCTAGTCTTAAACTCCTGGGCTCAAGCAATCTTCTCACCCCAGCCTTACAAAGTGCTGGGATTACAGGCATGAGCCACTGCATCTGGCTTTCTTTTTTCATTTCTTTTGTTAACACTTAATATTTTACACGTTTATGGGGTAACTTTGAGTATTTTTTTACATGCATAGAATGCATAATGATCAAGTCAGGGTGTTTGAGGTATCCATCACCTGAGTAACTTATTTCTATGTGTTGGTAACATTTTAAGGCCTCTCTTGTTGCTACTTTGAAACATACAACTATTGTTCCTAGCTATAGTCATCCTACTCTGATGTAGAAAATTGTAACTTATTTCTTCTATCTAACTGTAAGTTTGTAACTATTCTCCAACATCCCTTTAATTTTTCCTCCCACCTTCACACCCTTCTCAGCCTATAGTATATATCATTCTATTCTTCATCTCTATGAGATCAAGGTTTTTAGCTCCCACATATGAGTAAGAACATGTGATATTTGTATTTCTGTGCCTGGCTTATTTCACTTAACGTAATGACCTCCAGTTCTACCCATGCTGCTGCAAATGACATGATTTCATTATTTTTCTATGACCAAATAGTGTTTCATTGTGCGTATATATACATACCACATTTTCTCTATCCATTTGTCTGTTGATGGACACTTAGATTGATTCTGTATCTTTGCTATTGTGAATATTGCTGCAATAAACATTGCAAGTGCACGTACCCCTTTGATTACTGATTTATTTTCCTTTGGAAAACACAGTAGTGAGATTGCTGGATCATACTGAAGTTCTGCTTTTAGTTTTTTGAGAAATCTCCATACTGTTTTCCATAGTGGTTGTACTAATTTACATTCCCACTAAAAGTGTATGAGTTTCCTGTTCTCCACATCCTTGACAGCATCTGTTATTTTTTCGTCTTTTTCATAATGGCCATTCTAAATGGAGTAAGATGGTATCTCATTGTGGCTTTGATTTTCATTTGTTTGATGGTTAGTGATGTCGAGCATTTATTTTCACGTGTTTGTTAGCCATTTGTATTTGTTCTTTTGAGAATTGTCTATTCATGTCCTGTGCTTACTTTTTAATGGAATTGTGTATTTGTATCATTAAGTTGTGTGATTTTCTTATACATTCTATATATTAGTCCCTTACCAGATGAATGGTTTGCAGATAGTTTCTCCCATGTAACAGATTGTCTCTCCACTCTGCTGATTGTTCCCTTTGCTGTACAAAAGTTTTTTAGTTTAATATAGTCCCATTTGTCTATCTTTGTTTTAGACATTTGTGCTTTTGAGGTCTAAAAATCTAAAGTGCCAAGACCAATTTCTTTTTCACAAAATTATTAAATAATGTATTCTGGCTAGGTTCTGTGTAGTACAATATATTGTTAATACTGTTGGCCTTTGGCCTAGAGAAACATTCCTTTACCAACCACGAATAAAGAGTTTCACCTCAGCGGATGCCCATTTACTTTACAAACATCCTGTCTGTGCAACCTAGTAAACTGTATTCTGGGAAGAACTGGCCAGAACCCCTGTGAACCACTTTCTTAATATATAAATGATAAGCTGTGAACTTAAACTGCAGGAGATCTTAGAAGCATCATCCTTAAGGACAATTAGCATGACTGGTGCATTGCTAAATGTGAAGTCTATCTGTATGTTAGTTTCATGATTTACTTTTTTATTTAAGCAACACATAAAAGTTACTAAGGCTTGTATCAGGTGCCCATTAAGTAACTCTTGACACTAATGAAGTAATGTTTTAGTAGGAACGATCCAAATATATACACCATGAAAATATATCCTTTGTTTCTTTCCCTAATGTTCAAATCCAATGTCAATACACTGTTCAGAATAACCAGGAATACTAATTACCAAACAGAACACTGTAGCTCAAAGCAGATTTTCTGCTAAGAAACAAAACTAATTGATTTACAGGTGACTTGAAGTCCAAAACTAAATTTGTAAGTAAGCCAAATATTCCATGAGGGCTATTGACTAGTAAAATCATAAAATCATCATAATAGTAACAATTCATAAGGAAGATAGGATAATAGTAGTTAGATTAGTTTTCTTTCTTAATGAAGACTGCTATAGTAAGCTTTAATGACATTCTCTTTGATTAATGTTTGCATTGCATACACTTTATTGGTCACTTGCTCAACAGAATCTTTTCAGAGAAAGATTACACGCAACGATGCTTCACCAGTTACATCTCCATAAAACATATCTAGATTACAAATTGGACAATAGGAGACTAATTAACAGTGATCAGCAGATGTGTATGCTGAGGTGGTGCACAGAGACAAACAAATTTACAACTCAGTTCCTGGAAAAGGAATTCATTTGTGACTCCTTACAGAATACCTGGATGGGTATTTAAAATCCATCCCCAAGGCCCTCTTTCCATATTACAACATCAACACATCAGTCTTCAGAGTTAGATAAAAGGAATCTGATGAGGACCACGTTAACATTTATGTTGAGCTTAAATAAAACATGAAACTAACGTCTTGAAAGACTGAGTTGAGCAAGGCAGCATTCACACCATGGTATTCAAGAATTATTCATGAAGCTTCAGTGCTTCTCAACATTTTAGTTTCTTATATCTGATTTTACTTAAAGTTCTTTTTTGCAGTGATTGTTTTTGGATATTTCGTCCACCGAGATAGGAATTTCTCAATAACAGGAAGAAACAGATTGAGCACCTAATGATATCTAAATGCTTTAATTGCCGGATCATCTTTCTTCCTGAGTGTTAATATCTCTATTTATTGTGGGTGGGGAGCATGTCATTGGGAGGAAAGGGAAAGGTTTACATTTAGGGAAGTCGATTACATAGAATGATCCTATTTTGAGAAAAATCAAGGCTATTCATTTTCTGGGTTCAGAGTCCAGTAAAGCTTAGGTAATTTTCTAATAATTTTATCACAACATTTCTTGGCGTTGTCTTTAAGCAAAAACCCAGAGAACTGACACCATTGACCCAGGTTTATTACTATTCATCCCCTAAACTTCTAAAACTTCTTGCCCATATCTGTAAGAGAAAGCCACTTCTTTTCTTAGGGTTTCCTCCTCTATACCCAAATTTGCACAGTCTCCAGAGAAAATGTGAGTGTTACAAAGTAACCCATCCTCACATCCTTCAGCCCCTGAAATGGCTCAGTCCCACCTCGTCTCTGAGAATTATTTGTGAAGTAAGCCTTTGTCTTCCAATAAACATCATTCCTTTCTCCAAGAGTTCCTGAAAGTCCTAATTTGCTAAGTCAGAAACCAAGGTCCTCTTACCTACCTCTTTAGTGGTTTATAATTTTTAAAACACTTCCATATACATTTTCTCATTTGATAATGATGAACATTTGGGTCCACTGAAAGCATGCAAGATGGGAAAGGGGCTGTGGCAGATGTGACATTTATGGGATTTCACACAGGTCAGAAGTTAACAGGAAGAAGCCAAGCCTATTCAAGTGTGTAAGACTCATAGTCCATAATCAGAGATAGGGCGTCATTTGTATTTACACCCAAGCAGAACTGGAAGTACCAATCATGAAACATTTAACAACATTCTTCTTCTCTGTCTTTTTTAACGTTGGTATGCATTGTAAACTCTGGTAATTCCCAAAATAATTTGTGCAAAATTAAAGACTAGAAACCATTTTGACCCATTCCATGCAATAGTTAATAAGAGAAAAAACACAAGCATATAAATGCAAAATGATTCTTTCAGTGGGAGTGTGTTATTCACTTTGAAATTAAAGTGTTTAATGGAAGGAGGGAAGACTGAATAGTTTTTGTGATTAAATATGTATTATGTTATTTACATTTTACAATGATGTAGCTTTTTCCTTATGACACTAAATTGTCTTTATTATTTTTTCATATTTAATTTCTATATCAAAGTGCCAATGCTTTTTATTTTAAAAAAAAATGACCATTGTGTTTCTTTCAGGACCATAGAAACTACATTTTAAAATATTTTATTTTTCAGGAACAAAGTGGCAAATACGTCTCTGTGTCTTAAATGTGTATGTCCCTTACAGTTTTTTGTATGAAAATAATTGTTCTATCAAAAGTTAGAATAAAAAAGTTCAATAAAAATGTTGAAGGACTTTTTCCTAGAAAAGTTTGATTTTGAATATTGTTTAGATCATTTATTTTTAAATATAGATTTTAGTGAAATAAAACATACATGCAGAAAATATGCAACTCATAAATGGATCAAGTCAATTAATTTTTGAAAAGTGAATATACTTGTTTAATTACAACACAGATCAAATTTGAACTTGACTAGCATCTTAAAAGCTTCCTGTATCACAGTCATTATACCCTTTAAAGGAAACCACAACTATGACCTATCACAACACAGATTAATTTTGTCTGTTTTAAAATGTATACTAAGGGAGTCATACAGTAGGTATGTATTTGAATACATTTCCAGTTTGGATTATTACGAACTACCTGATATGAATATATTTGACACATATTTGATTACCTTTTTGTCGGTCATAACCTCAAAGTAGAAATGCCTGTTTGAAGTATGATATGGTTTGACTCTGTGTCACCACCCAAATCACATGTTGAATTGTAATCCCCAATGTTGGGAGAGGGACCTGGTGGGAGGTGACTGTGATATGGAAGTGCTGCGAAGGGAAGGGCATGGTCCCTTTAAATGATAGGGGTTGGGGAGCAGGGTTAAGGGAAGTGCTGGGTAGAGGAGGGCATGGTCCCTGGCTAGGGCTCCACCTGCAGGGACCTAGGTGAGGACAGGCATTTCCTGCCCAGATGTTGCGTTTCCCAAGACCATCCTGGCCTGCCACGCCCCCATCCTGTGCCTATAAAAACCCCTGACTCACTCATAGGTGGGAATTGAACAATGAGAACACATGGACACAGGAAGGGGAACATCACACTCTGGGACAGCTGTGGGGTGGGGGGAGGGGGGAGGGATAGCATTGGGAGATATACCTAATGCTAGATGACAAGTTAGTGGGTGCAGCGCACCAGCATGGCACATGTATACATATGTAACTAACCTGCACATTGTGCACATGTACCCTAAAACTTAAAGTATAATAATAATAAATAAATAAATAAATAAAACCCATGACACCCTAGCAGGCAGATACATAGGCAGCTGGATGTCAAGAGGAGCACATCAGCCGAAGAACACAGAGGCAGCTGAACGTTGAGAGGAATGCACCAACAGGCACTGCAAGCCGGCAGGCAATCCACCAGCAGAACAATGTGGAGTTTGGCAGGGGCAGTCAGAAGAGAGCCCAGGTGACTCAGCAACCTGACTCCAGGGGAAAACCTTCCCACTCCATCCCCATCTGGCTTCCCCTATCTGCTAAGAGCTAGCTCAACTCAATAAAACCTTGCACTCATTCTCCAAGACCAGGTGTGATCTGATTCTTCCAGTACACCAAGGCAAGAACCCAAGATACAGAAAGCCCTCTGTCCTTGTGACAGGGTAGAGGGACTAACTGAGCTGGTTAACACAAGCCACCTATAGACAGGAAAAGTGAAAGAGCACCCTGTAACGCACACCCACTGGGGCTTCAGGCACTGTCAACATCCACCCCTAGACGTTGCCATGGGGTTGGAGCCCCACAACCTGCCTGTCTGTATGCTCCCCTAGAGGTCTGAGCAGCAGGGCACTGAAGAAGCAAGCCACTCCGCCTGTCATACACCCTGTGAGGGGGACAGAGGAACTTTTCCCATTTCAACTGGATCATGGGAGCAGATTTCCCCCTTGCTGTTCTCGGGATAGTGAGTTCTCTCATGAGATCCGGTAGTTTGAAAGTGTGTCACAGTCACACTTTCCCCTTCACTCCCTCTTCCTCCTGCCTGCCATGTAAGATGCACTTGTTTCCCCTTCACCCATCAGTCATGATTGTAAATTTCCTGAGGTTTCCCCAAAAGCAGAAGCCTGTACAGCCTAAGAAACTGTGAGTTTATTAAACTTCTTTTCTTCATAAATTGCCCAGTGTCAGTTATGTCTTTATAGGAGTGTGAGAATGGGCTAATATAAATAGTATGTATGTGTTCCAAAGTGATTGGATGGTCATAAACTGCATAATGAGCTTTAGATCATATACAGCGTTGGTCCCATAAGATTATAATACCATATTTTTACTCTACCTTTTTAATGTTTAGGTACACATTCTTATCATTGTGTTACAATTGCCTGTAATATTCAGTACAGTAACATGTTGTACTGGTTTTTAGCCTAGGAGCAATAAATAGGCTATACCATATAGCCTAGGTGTGTAGTAGACTACACCATCTAGGTTTGTGTAAATATATTCTGTGATGTTTGCATGATCAAATTGCCTAACACCACATTTCTCAGAATGTATCCTCATCATTAAGCAATACATAACTGTACTATTTTATATTCCCCCTCAAATTATACGAAAAATTCCTCCTAATCTTTGGCAGCAATTAGAATGTAGGTTTCGTTTATTTGTTTGCTTCTATTCTGGTCATCTGGTAAGTGTATAATGCACCTCTGTATGGTTTTAATTCACATTTCTCTACTGACTAATGATGTTAGATATCCTCTTAGATAAGGTGCCTGATATTTTGTCTTTTTTATTGGATTGTCTAATTTTTTTCTAATTGAGTTAAAGGAGTAGATTGACTGATAGAAAAATATATAGATTGATTGTTGGGTAAGTAGGTAGATAAATAGATGATGAAATGGACCTATTTATTTCTGGTAATATTCTCTGCTCTAAGAATGTATTTCCTCTGACAATATGACCACTTTTAGCCTTGTCTTAATAAACACTAGCATAGTATCTCTTTTTTCATTCTTCTACTTTTAACCTTTGTCTATATATATATGTGTGTGTGTGTATATATATATATATATATATATATATATTTTTTTTTTTTTTTTTTTTTTTTTTTTTGAGATGGAATCTTGTTCTGTCACCCAGGCTGGAGTGCAGTGGCGCTAACTTGGCTCACTACAACCTCTGCCTCCTGGGTTCAAGCAATTCTCATGCCTCAGCTCCCAAGTAGTTGGGACTACAGACATGCGCCACCACACCTGGCTAATTTTTGTATTTTTAGTAAAGACAGGGTTTCACCATGGTGCCCAGGATGGTCTCAAACTCCTGACCTCAGGTGATCCACCCACCTCAGCCTCCCAAAATGCTAGGATTACAAGCATGAGCCACCACGCCAGGCCTGTCTTAATATTTTAAATGAATATTTTGAAGGAAGGAATATAGAAAACATGTAGTAAGTCTTGCTTTTATTTCGGTAATCAAATCTGATAATTTCTACCTATAAACTGGAATTTTTAGACCACTTATATTTAAAGTAGTTATTTTATTTATTTATTTACTTGTTTACTTTTTAGAGATGAGGTCTCACTCTGTTGCCCAGACTGGAGTGCAGTGGTGCAATCATAGCTCTCTGCAGCCTCTGAACATCTGGGCTCAAATGATCTTCCTGCCTCAACCTGCCAACTAGCTGGTACTACAGGCTCATGCCACAGCCTCTAATTTTTATTTTTATTTTTATTTTTATTTTTTATAGAGATGTGGTCTTGCCTTTTTTTGCCCAGGCTCCTGGCTTCAAATAATCCTTCCACCCAGTCCTCCCAAAGTGCTAGAATTATAAGCATGAACACTGTGCCCAGCTAAAATGATTATTAGGATGTTTGGTTTTAAATCTACTATCTTCTTTTTTCTCCTAATTTGTTTTTGATCTCTTTTGATTCTAGATTAAACACTCCATTTCATGTCCTTTTTTGGCTTATTAGCTATGCCTCTTTATTGAGTTATTTTAGTGAAGCTGTGAGGTTTATAATATACACCTTTACTCATGGCAGTCTATTTTTAAGTGATATTGTATCACTTTAGCTATTGTAGAAGACACTTACAAGAGTGTACTCCTGTTCCCTGCTCAAGGGCTTTGTGCTGTTGATGTCATACATCTTACTTCTACAAATGTCATAAACTCTTCTACATATTGTTTTTAGTTTTTAACAATTATATTTAAAGAAATTTAAATAATTAGAAAATATACCTTAATACTTGTCCCCATTGTTACAATTTTCTATGCTTTTTGTTCTTTGGGTAGTAGATTTAGATTTTGATCTGGTATAATTTTTATTTTGCTAGGATTTACTTAAACTCTTTCTGTAGTACAGGTCCGTAGTGATGAATACTTACCTTTTTATTTTTGAATAATTCCTTATTTGCTTTTTTAAAAAAAAATTTTTTGTAAGATATTACTACCAGGTAAAGCATTCTAGATTGGCAGACACTTTTTTTTTTTCTGTATTGAAAAAAATCCCTAGTTCTCTTCTAGCCTGGATTAATTCCAATAAGAAGCTTGCCTTTTTTACCTTTTTGCCTCTATACATAATGTGTCTTTTTCTCTGGCTGCTTTTAAGACTTTTTTTTTAATCACTACAACTTGATTTTGATGTATTTTGACTTTGAGCTTCTAGTATCTGTGAATTTTTAATTTTCATCAAATTTAGAAAGTTGTTTGTCATTGGTTCCTCGAGTAGTGTTTGTTTGTGTTCTCTTTCTCTTTCAGAGACTAGGATTAAAAGTACATTAGACTACCTAGACTAACTCATAGCTCACTAATCTTCTTTTTTACTTTCATTTTTCTTTTGTTTTGAATATAGTCTTTTGCCATGTCTTCAGTTCTAGTAATCTTTTCTCTTGCAATGTCTAGTCTGCTGATAAGCCCATTCAGCATATTTTTTATTTCAGATATTATAGGTTAATTTATAATATCTGATTTCAATCTTTTTGTATGTATTTTGTATATTACATTTATTTTTCTAGTTTCTTGAACACATAGAATTCAGTGTTAATAATTGTTTCAATGCCTTAGTCAGCCAATTCCATTGTCTGTGTCATATGTTGGCAAGTTCCAGGTGATTTTATTCCTCATTATGTGTTTTATTTGCTTGCTTCTTCACATGCATGGATTCTTTTATTAGATTCTAGGCATTGTAAATTTTATCTTGTTTGATGATTGACAGATATTTTTAGCCCTTAACCAAGTCTATCTTTACTTGTGAAAAATAATATAAAACTTTGATGTTTAAGATCAAATTTTCTTTAGTAATAATGTTCATTTTATAATAAAATTGTGGTACAATACTGACATTTTATAGTTTCAACAAAGCATCATTCATGTAAAAATCATGTTCTAGCATGTAAATTTTACTTAGAAAATTTATAGTTCACAAAAGTGCAATCTTTTTGTTGATAGCTCATGAAACTTATAAATTTACCTAAGATGCAGAAAAAAATTCATAGCTAGACTTTACATTTAGTACTATACAATTCTATGTTGGATCTACTGATATTTTTATTAATAAGGTACATTTGAAATAATTGATTCAGACTACCAATGAATTGATATTTTATTGTATAATCAAGATCTATTGGTTTTATCATATGTCTAGTAATCAATTATTTCAAGCATAATTTAAATGACCGAGATCCAGTTGAAAACATCGTTGACATATACTTTTAACAGGATAACTAAAGTAAAAAGCACTAGCAGCTTTGATTTTATACGTGCATATAAGGTAAGACTGTATTTTACAGTTAAAATTTGTATACAAAGTCAAGCCCTATTTTTTCCCCAAGAAAAAAGTTCTGATGTTAAAAGTTTGAAAAAAAAAAAAAGAGTGAGAGAGTGTAAATATTTTTACTTAAAATGTTGGACATCAGCACCACTTGTGTTATAGATGAAATTTAACCTTCTACATATGAACATTATTTTGCCATTTAAGAGTCAAATTTAAGACTCACAAAATGTTAAAGCCTTCAGCATGCCATTAAAAAATAGTGGCAAATACATGTTCTCATAAATGGGAGCTAAATGATGAGAACACGTGGACACATAGAGGGGAACAAGAGACAATGGGATCTACTTGAGGGTGGAGGTGGAAGGAGGGAGAGGATCAGAAAAAATAACTAATGGGTTACTAGGCTTAGTACTTGGGTGATGAAATCATTTACACAACAGACCCTCATGACATGAGTTTACCTATATAACAAACCTGCCCATGTACCCCGAACTTAAAATAAAAGTTAAAAAACATCATGGTATATAAATGGAAGGACTTTAGTGAATTCAACACAAAGTACATCGTATTACATAAAGTCAGTCAGTTAATAATTTACTGATAATATGCTTCGTGGTAATGTGAGCAAAATTCATTGACGTATTCTGAGTCAAGTGATCATTTAATCAAGACTTCTTAGATATTTTTGTATTGCTATAAACATCCTTGGATGTGGTTGAGTTACTTATAAACTGTGTAATCCTTTGGGTTTTGTTTTTAAGCTTTTTCTAGGTGAAGATTGTTTTTGTTCTAAAGTTAGTTGTCACACACTTCTGAGGCAAGACTCTTAGCTGTACTCCACTCAATGTCCTGTATCTTATAAGATTTTCTCCTAGCTGGTGGTGCTAGGCTTTATTTCTGGTTGCAAGAAATCTCTGGGTTTGAATGGTTTTACAGCAGCTGTCATTAGTTTCCTCACATTTGTGTACTGATCAGCACTCAACTGAATAAGGAAGGGGCCCTCTGCAGATTTCTGGAGCTCCATCTCTGTGCAGCTCTCTCCTCTTTGGTACTCTGCCCTGCAAACTGTAATCACCTGGCCGGTGCTTTCTGAATTCTTCCTTCCTTCACTGTGGTCTGTAAACATTCTACATGTAGTAAGCTTGAGCAATTGTAGGAATCATCTTGCTTTCTTCTTAGAAATAAACAGCCTTCATTACCTGATCCTGGCTAAAGTTGGAGGTCCCGTGTCTAGTGGCTTTTGATGAATGGTGAATATTTTGGTAAAAGAACAGCTCAGTTTGTAAAAACATTTATATCCAGAAAAGGGCACACCCCATCTGTCAGGCTGCTGGTGTGGAGGACTGGCCAATCTGCGGATCTGTGTTTGTGTTCTGTTTTGCATTATTTAGGGTCAGTTCACTATAATTTTCAAATAATTTGAAGGTGAAATCATAAGCCTTCCTTTATCGGGGCTTGGGTTCTGAGTGTCTAAATGTTTCGTCTTAGGCACTGCTATCATCTCAGTGCTTGCTGATGAATAATGGTTGAGCAAGTAGAATAAAAGAAACCCTAGGCCTTAACACTACCAAGGAAACAGATGGTTCTTGGACTGTAAAGTGTCAGAAGAGCAAAAAGGAACACCCAGTGAAGCACAGTATTAGAGTAGAATTACGGCAGCAGAACAGTCTTCAAGAAACCCTCAATGCACCCTAGGCCTGACATCAAGTATCTTTCCTACTCCTATTTTTTCTCAAAAGCATTTGGTGAAAAGAGTTGACAAATGTAAACAGATCTTCTTTTCCATCTATGGCTCCCAGGGATTTGAAATTGCCATGTCAGTTCACCCTTGAACTTTGAAAATTCCTTAAACGTTAAGCTGTTTTCCTATTAAGTTTTTTCTTACCCACATCTATGGCGATTTTCTCCATTCTCACTGCTCCACCAAGGGTGACAGTAGCCATGAGTTCTGCCTTAGGATGGGCTCAACACTCTATCAATTTTAGTTCATTAGATTTCTTTACATTCTCAGCTCTCTACTGAGATTTATAATCATGATTTTGTAGATTATCTAGCAATTCTCATCACTAAAGTAGATGCAGATTCTCCTATGGCTTTCTACATCCTAAAAAGAAGCCTAAGTCAGCCAGGTAATTTTTTATTAAACGCTTTAATGTATGTGGAAAAAAAAACAACCCAGAAAGTGTAAATGATACTATTTTTTTCCAGAGATGATTTAACTTTTGTATAGTGAACTATTGGAAAGTAGCATGTTTAGCTTCATGCATTTAATATTTGAGTTAATCTGAAGCTGAATTTTAGGCTGGTCTACTTCTTGTTTGCACTACTCCTAGAGCTGAGCCCTCCTAGGACTTAAACTCAAAGCTTTATATACTTACCATGGTTCCTAGGCTTCAGTTGTTTTTCTTCTTCAACACTGCAAGGTTATTAATGCTCTGCCAGGCTTTTTAACCTCTAAGCATCAGACTTTTGCAGAATATTTAACCTTTTATTCCTGGAAATTTATATGTTGGCATGTGCCTTGTGAGCAAACAAAGCAAAATGACAGGTTGACTTTTCTATGGTTCTTCCCCACAACCCGCCCCCCAGGGATCTTTACTCCTCAGTGTGTAAAAGCCTTGCAAGTCCCAAATTCCTGGTTTTCTTTTTTTTTTTTTTTTTTTTGCTGTGTTTTCCCAGCCTGGGTAGAATAGTACAAACTGTAAGCCAGAATTTTCTATTTCCATGTCTTACCTTGATAAGAAATGTTCTAAGACAGAAAAAGAATACATATAAGTAGTGGAAAATATTGGGTTTGTCTCAATGCGCTCTTTTTCCCCTATCTTAGTTTGCTTTCTGATGCCTTCAAACTGCTTCATCTCCATCAGAGCTTGATGGAAATGTTTTAAGAAACATTCAAAGTGTAGTGAATTGATTTGGCAGCTGGTAATGTAAACTATCCTCATCATTAAAAAAAAAAAAAAAAAAAAGTACTGTGTGAGCCAAAGTAACCTATACGAATTTTGGCTTATTTTTAGCTAAATTTGGCTAAATTTCAATGAATTACATTAAAATGAAAAGTTACAGTGCTAGTGTCTTATTGGTAAAGGTATACCAGCTGTCTATTTACGATATGCATGCTGTAAGTCAAAATACCTAAATTTAATGTTACACAATTCCTATGACTTGCCTGTGTTCATATCAGCTAGTGGGAACTGCTCGTTAAAAACTCTCGATATCTGCCCAACCCAAACTTGAGTTTAGACTTGAATTTATTTCTGGTTTTCTGACATTAATAAATAGAATGTCTACCCAATAGTTGAATCACTCTGTAATTATCTTAATTTCTTTTCTTTCCCTTACCTACCACATCAATTTAGGTTTTAGGACAGCAGCCAGGTTTTGTAGTGGTTTTATTAAGTCTAACTTTCCTGTCTTAATGATTATCCCCAAACACATAATCCTGTGTATTAGATACAGCAAACTGCTTCCAAGTTATGAAGTAATATTTGCATGCATAATTATATTTTTGTAAAAGGCCTTTTGAATAAAATTTCTCTCTTTTATAAGGCTCCAAAACCCTGTCTGTGCAGTCATTTCTTCAACTAGTATTATACATTTCACTCTCTGATCTTCCATGACCCTTTATATATAGACCTGACATGGTACTTATGTGTTGTCTATTCATAAAAGTTTATTACTCTTCAGAGATACCTCCTGATTAATCTTAATAGTCTCTTCAAATTCTCCTTTCCCCAAGCTTCCAAATTTTAGTTTCAATTGCCTTCTTCAATTCCCCTGCCTTATTTACTCAACTTGTAACACTAAACTCATTATCTACTGCTCCCCACTTTATGGTCTTTATATTATCTAATCTTATTAATGGATACCCAATCTTTTTAGCCAAGAAAACCTCTGATTTCTCAACTCATTTATTTCATCTGCTTCCTGTATTCAATTGCTAAATTTTTTAAATCTGCAACAGATTTGTTGTTTATTTATTTATTTATGATTTTATTATACTTTAAGTTCTAGGGTGCATGTGCAGAACGTGCAAGTTTGTTACATAGGTTTACACAGGCCATGGTGGTTTGCTGCACCCATCAACGCCTCATCTATATTAAGTATTTCTCCTAATGCTATCCCTCCCATATCTCCCCACCACCCGACAGGCCCCGGTGTGTGATGTTCCCTTCCCTGTGCCCATCTGTTCTCACTGTTCAACTCCCACTTACGAGTGAGAACATGCGGTATTTGGTTTTCCGTTCTTGTGTTATTTTTCTGAGAATGATGGTTTCCAGCTTCATCCATGTCCCTGCAAAGGACATGAACTCATACATTTTTATGGCTGCATAGTATTCCATGGTATATGTTTGCCATGTTTTATTTATCCAGTCCATCATTGATGGGCATCTGGGTTGGTTCCAAGTCTTTGCTATTGTGAACAGTGCCACAATATACATACGTGTGCATGTGCCTTTATAGTAGAATGATTTATAATCCTTGAGGTATACACCCAGTAATGGGATTGCTGGGTCAAATGGTATTTCTGGTTCTAGATCCTTAAGGAATTGCAACACTGTCTTCCACAATGGTTGAACTAATTTACACTCCCACCAACAGTGTAAAAGCATTCCTATTTCTCCACATCCTCTCCAGCATCTGTTGTTTCCTGACTTTTTAATGATCGCCATTCTAACTGGTGTGAGATGGTATGTCATTGTGGTTTTGATTTGCATTTCTCTAATGACCAGTGATGATGAGCTTTTTTTCATATGTTTGTTGGCTGCATAAATGTCTTCTTTTAAGAAGTGTCTGTTCATATCCTTCACCCACTTTTTGATGGGGTTGTTTGTTTTTTTTGTGTAAGTTTGTTTAAGTTCCTTGAAGATTCTAGATATTAGCCCTTTGTCAGATGGATAGATTGAAAAAAGGTTCTCCCTTTCTGTTGGTTGCCAGTTCACTCTGATGATAGTTTCTTTTGCTGTGCAGAAGCTCTTTAGTTTAATTATATCTCATTTGTCAATTTTGGCTCTTGTTGCCATTGCTTTTGGTGTTTTAGTCATGAAGCATTTGCCCATGCCTATGTCCTGAATGGTATTGCCTAGGTTTTCTTCTATGGTTTTTATGGTTTTAGGTCTTACCTTTAAGTCTTTAATCCATTTTGAGTTAATTTTTGTATAAGGTGTAAGGAAGGGGTACAGTTTCTGTTTTCTTCATATGGCTAGCCAGTTTTCCCAACACCATTTATTAAATAGGGAATCCTTTCCCCATTGCTTGTTTTTTTCAGGTTTGCCAAAGATCAGATGGTTGTAGATGTGTGGTGTTATTTCTGAAGCCTCTGTTCTTTTTCATTGGTCTATATATCTGTTTTGGTACCAGTACCATGCTATTTTGGTTACTGTCACCTTGTAGTATAGTTTGAAGTCAGGTAGCATGATGCCTCCAGCTTTCTTCTTTTGGCTTAGGATTTTCTTGGCTATGTGGACTTTTTTTTGGTTCCATATTAAATTTAAAGTAGTTTTTTCTAATTCTGTGAAGAATGTCAATGGTAGCTTGATGGGAATAGCATTGAATCTATAAATTACTTTGGGTATGTCCATTTTCATGTTATTGATTCTTCCTATTCATGAGCATGGATTGATTTTCTACTTGTTTGGGTCCTCTCTTATTTCCTTGAGCAGTGGTTTGTAGTTCTCCTTGAAGAGGTCCTTCACATCCCTTGTAAGTTGGATTCCTAGGTATTTTATTATCTTTATAGCAATTGTGAATGGGAATTCACTCATGATTTGGCTCTCTGTCTATTATCGGTGTATAGGAATGCTTGTAAATTTTGCACATTGATTTTTGTATCCTGAGACTTTGCTTAAGTTGCTTATCAGCTTAAGGAGATTTGGGGCTGAGACGATGGGGTTTTCTAAATATACAATCATGTCATCTGCAAACAGAGAAAATTTGCAGATTTGTTATTTAATTGTATCAATTTCTCTTCATCTTCTTCACTTCATCTTCACCAGCACTAATAGTTCAAAGTATCACTATCTTCAAGGCTCATCCATCAGTCCACCCATGTTACAAGGGCTATTACTCAAAGATGAATGTAATATGACTTATTCTGCTTAAAATTTAAAAAATTGCCTGAAATATAAGCTTAACTCTCCAATTTGATGTCTAGGTGGAGAAGCAAGCTGGTACAAAGAGCCTAAGTCAGGAGCATGTGTGCCATATTTGAGAGCCCAAAGAGTTGATTTAGAGTGAGCAGAAGGAAAGAGTAGGAGATGGGAGTCATAAAACTATATGACACAAAAGCTTCTGTAAGGCCTTGTAGGCTACTGTGAGGGTTTTGGCTTTAACCCTGAGTAAACTTGTGAACTATTGCAGAGTTCTGAAAAATAACATGGCCTTTCCTACATGATCAAAGGATAAGATTGCTTGCCCCTAAATAAATCTATACCTATCTTTATTTTAATATTTATAGGAATACTTTAAGTCATCATATGAAATCTCATCTAACCCTGTCCCTGTACATATTCTGAAGTTCTCATGAATAAGAACAATGTGTTGTTATTCATCTTTTTTTAAAAATTTTATTATTATTATACTTTAACTTTTAGGGTACATGTGCACAATGTGCAGGTTTGTTACATATGTATACATGTGCCATGTTGGTGTGCTGCACCCATTAACTCATCATTAAGCATTAGGTATATCTCCTAATGCTATCCCTCCCCCTACCCCCACCCCACAACAGTCCCCAGAGTGTGATGTTCCCCTCCCTGTGTCCATGTGTTCTCATTGTTCAATTCCCACCTATGAGTGAGAACATGCGGTGTTTGGTTTTTTGTCCTTGCAACAGTTTGCTGAGAATGATGGTTTTCAGTTTCATCCATCTTTGTATTCATATGTACAGGCCTGTACTTACCCAGGACATTGCCTGTGACCAATAAATTGAGATGCAGAATTAATTACAAAATATTGCCTGTCTAGGATATAGGGTACAGAGATAGATGCTCTTGCATATTAAGTCAACTCACAATAGAAATCAGAGGTAATTTAATGCACACACCAATGAAAGCACATATTCATTGTACAGTGTTATTTCACTCACCTTTGGGTGTCTTTACATAACCATTTACTACTGTGAACACATAACTTGGACAGAGAATATCTCTTTTCACACGTCACCTGAAACCATTTTATGATTCAAATAAAATTGAGAATTACAAAAAACAAACAACAAAAAACTTTGAAGCTCTAATAATTCTTTTCATTATTGTGATACTGTATGTATGTCTTAATTCTTTTATTTTTTCACATGAATCCTAAGGGATGTGTAATAATATTTTAATGTTTATAATAAATATGATAATACTTATTAAAAATAAGAATTTGAATCCAAAACTATCACTGTGGAAATCAGAATTTCAGTATGTTTTTGCCTTGTCATCTTGTTGAGCAGAAAGTCTCCATGTTATAGAAAATTTATGCATCTACATGACAAAGATATGTATCTTTACATACATTCATAGACTTAAGCACACTTATAAAGCATATATGTTAAAAAAAGAAATTATTATAACAATTGGAAAAACTGTTTTGTATTTTTAACAAATGTTTTGTGTCAATGGCAAAGGATGAGATTTTGGCATATCCTAAGAAGTGAAGATAGGTTTAGCAGCTTATTTTCTTCAGTCTGGAAATTCTAACTTCTTTAGTAAGGTTCCATATCAATTTCTCACTTTGGCTTAATGTGCCTCTTAGAATGCTTTGAAAGATACATGGGGCTTTAAGTTGCTACCTTGCTTCTTTTTACCTTCACATAGTAGAAATAAAACCCTAGCAATTTTTCTTTCTCCTTACACCTCCCTATTACCCACAACCTCTCCTTGTCCGAGGCCACTGTATTCACACCTGAAGGGTAGTACCTATGACTTCCTCAGATTGCTCTTGTGAAGGACAATTCTGAAAGATACATAAAAACGATGCCCACTAACAATATGTGTATAGATACATAGATACATGCACATATACCTACATACATACCTACCTACATACATAAATATACAGGATAGACTTGCCTTTATGCAGTCTATGTATGTGCATTTGCATATAGTTGTTAAAAAATCTTAAACTCCAAGATCAGATAAACTGAGATTAGAATAAACTCGACTATCATTTTAGCAGCATGACCCTCAGCAAGTGAAAGCTCCCTAAAACTCAGTCTTCACATTTGTAGAATAGGGTTAATGTTGCCATCTTCAGAAGTTATTTGCAAGAATATAGTGACACAATAAAGTCAAAGGCAAATGGTGGAAGCTAATATTATTCATTTAATGATAGCAGTTTACTATCAGTTAATGACTAGAGCCTATGTATTAGTAGCTAATATTTCCATGTGAACATTGCACTTACGAATTTTGTATGTAAAATAATGAGTCAATATCAAATCAGCTTTTATAATAGAGCATTGTAATATAATTATTTATGCAAGCAGTGTTAATTTCCTTTTTTTTATAAAACCTTTGCTGGAAACTGAAAATTTTACAGTGGCATTGTATGGCCATTTTAGAGGAATGTGCTTCTTAAACCTTCCTCTTGGCAGTTAACTATTCTTTCCAATTTCCTGTAACTTACACATCTGTGCACCATGATGGGAAGCCATGCCACTAGATAGGCAGAGGTGGGCCATGCATCGATCTCAGTGACATGCCATTAGCCATCTTCTTTCACTTAATACAATCTGACGAGTCTTGACCCGTTCAATTTTCCCACTGAAGACACTGTGTTTAATAGAATTAGAACTCCCTCTACTCTTATGTTATATTTTATGCTTAGACAGGTTCAGTGTTGTCTCTTCTTAACCCTCTTTATACTAGGCCATTTTAGCTAATTCTTTGTTCTTTTTACATCCCTATGCTATGTGAAAAGCAAAACAGTTCCACTAGCTTGGGTAGAATTTGTCAGCCATTCTTTTGGAATATTTAGAATGCTAGCTAAACTATTTTGCAGAATTGTTCGGAAGCTTAGCAATTTGAAACTTTTGTCTTTGTCATTGTGTGCAACAGGATTATGAATTTATATATTAAAATATATCTTTTATTTTTGCTCTGGGAAACAATTTCTCTTTATTTTCAGATTTCTATTTTTTCTAAGCCAGAATATGTTTAGGATAAGAAAGTAGCAGTGACCCAGAATCAAATCCTTTCAATAGAAAAATTATTCAAGTCTGTTTCCAGGTATATTTTTTCCTTACTAATATGAAGTTTCCACCATAAAGATTGATATGGTTTGGCTTGTCCCCACCCAAGTCTCATCTTAAATTGTAGCTCCCATAATCCCCACATGAAGTGGGAGGGACCAGGTAAAGATAATTCAATCGTGGGGGCAGTTTCCCCCACCATGTTCTTTTGATAGCGAGTAAGTTCTCATGAGATCTAATGGTTTTCTATTGCTACTGCAGCAGGTTACCACAAATGGACTGGCTTAGAACCATGCAAATTTATCACCTGTGAGTTCTGTGGGTCAGAAATCTCACTGGGTTAAAATCCAGATGTTGGCAGGACTACACTCCTTCTAGACACTCTAAGTGAAAATCCATTTCCTTTCTTTTGCTTATTCTAGAAGCCTCCTGCATCCCTTGGCTTGTGGTCCTTTCCTCTCTGAGCAAAGCCAGCAGTGGGTCGTCTTTGTCTCTCTGACCCTGACCCTCCTAAAAAGCCTTTTGTAATTGCATCAGGCTTACTCAGATAATCCTGAGTAATCTTTTCCATTTCAAGAACCTTAATTTAATCATGTCTACAAACTTCAAAGTTATGTAAGACAATATATTATCTTTACATGTAAATAATATATTCACATGCCATGTAAGATAATATATTCTCAGCTTCTGGGGATGTGAACATGCACATCTTGATGGGTTACTATTCTGTCCATCACAGATGGAAACCAGCCTCTCCCTTTACATGCCCATAAGTGTTTAAAACACTTTTATGGCTTTTATGGCATACATTTAATATGAATTTATGCATATTGTTTCTGTTTTAGATTCATTTCATTCCTTCTACTATGTACCTTAGAATTCCAGAGGATGTGGAAATCTTATGTCTTCAAATCTGTTGTGAGAAATGTGGAAACATCCCCATCTCTTGATTGCTTTTTGATTCCTACAACTTACAGCACAGATTCAGTTTGTTGAATTGAATATTAAATTTTGGAAACAGATTTACGTGATGAATCATGCAGGACAATAGAAATAACAGATAATGGAGTTACTTTGTTAAGTAATTTTTGTTTCCAGGTATGAGAAGACAGGCAGCAATGTGAGCCTAATCTGTAGACTCTCATCAAGATGAAATTTAGGAAGTGAGCTTGTTGAGATTGGAGTATTTTCTGGAATGGGAAGATGCAGTCAAATTTTGAGAGGTGGATATCAAATAATAGTTGTTGATAAAACATTCAAAAAAGAAATAACTTAAGTCTCTTGCCTTTATTCCTGATTGCCTTCTAAGATCACTGGAGATCAGAGAGTTAGGGTGTTTCTGCCTCATATAAAAGAATGTAAACAGTCTTTAAACTGGGGTTCAAACCATTGACAATAATAAACTTGTTTCATGGCTGTGTTTAAAATTAAAGGAGAGGTTAATCATTAAGATAATAATATCCATGTTTTCCGTTTCTGGAGGGGTAGTTTATTCATTTACGGACTACGGTTAAGGACTGTAACAGAGACTATGATAAATATTTTCTTCGAATTCAGAACACAACAAAGTTGAGTTTCTCCACTCCATTGACTGTGATTGCCATTATGCTTATAAACTATGAGTGTCTAATGGATTTACAGAAATATCTTGAATCTCTGGAAGAAAAAGTCAGAAATGAAGACAAAAAAGGATTTACTGCAAGATGAAATATGTCTTCTTTTGAGGCAATAAGCACACAGTATTTAAGATTCAAAGCATTGTTTTATTTGTTTCAGGGTCTAACAAAAATTACCACTCTAAGAGACATTAATATCTTCAACTTTCAGATCAACAAATTAGGCAAAAGAGGCTGAATAACATAAAAAATAAAATAACATAAATTAATAAAAATTTAAGTGTCTAGAAAGATAACATTAAGACAACTCATTACTTTTTAAATTAATGGAATGCATTGTTAAATTAGCCATCACAAAATGTCCATCTTATTGAAAACATGTGGGTTTAGTTTTGTGACTTTGGAATAACTTTTCGGTGGGCACTATGTTTTCTAATGAAGCATATTAAATTTTAAATTAAATAAATTACTCATGGTCAAATAATTAGAAAAGCAAATTGTTAGAAGGCTTTTTTACTTGTTCTAAAAACTGATATTTAAAGCATTTTAATATGTATGATATGATGCAAATTTGACATCCTAAAAATCGAGGTGCCTGCCTAGTGCTTACAAAGATTAAAAATAAAACCTGCCTCCTTGTTATTAAGTGTATTTTATAGTCTTTCTTAGAAGCAAAACTATTATATAGCCTGATGTTCACTAGCTAACAAAATCTAGTAAGTTTGAAACTCAATTGCCAAGAAGTAGGATTCTGAACAAAGATTGTTTTCCGTAGACACACAATGATAGGTTTCTGTAGAGAAGGGTATGATGTTTAATTTTATGTGCCCAGATATGTGGTCCAAAATTATTCTGAATGTTTCTGTGTTTCTGTCAAAAAATACTCTGAATTTTTTTTTTTTTTTTGAGACGGAGTCTCGCTCTCTCACCCAGGCTGGAGTGCAGTGGCACGATCTCGGCTCACTGCAACCTGTGCCTCCCAGGTTCAAGTGATTCCTGTGCCTCAGCCTCCCAAGTAGCTGGGACTACAGGTGCCCACCACCACGGCCAGCTAATTTTTGCATTTTTAGTAGAGACGAGGTTTTGCCATGTTGGCCATGGCTGGTCTCGGACTCCTGTCCTCTAGTGAATGGCCTGCCTTGGCCTCCCAAAGTGCTGGGATTAAGGGCGCGAGCCACTGTGCCTGGCCTGAGATGAACATTTAAATGGGTGGGTTTTGAGTAAAGCTGATTGCCTTCCATAATGTGGGTGGGCCTCATTCAATCTGTTGAACACCTGAAGATAACTCAAGACTGATTTCCCCTGAGCAAGAGGAAGTAGTACTGCCTGCTGATGGCCTTTGAACTTCAATTGCAGATTTTGCACTTGCCAGCCTACATAACCACACGAGTCGATTCCTTAAAATAAATCTGTCTCTCTCTCCACTCTCTTTTTTCACATCGTATTTGTTCTATTTCTCTGAAGAACATTGACTAATACAAAGTGATTTATGTTCCCAAAATAAATGAAGTAGAAGGAAAAATAATGGATCACACATAAGGCATATTATCAAGAGCAGTATAAGTCATGAAGGTGAAAAGCAACCTGAATGGGTGAGGCAAGGAAACTAACATCTCTCAGCTGCCAAGGATTGGGCTGCTTGCTTCAACACTTAACCCTTGTAGCCTCCCTAAGAAATATTCATTATCATCCTCAATTTTCAAATAATGATAATGAGGCCAGAAACATCAAGTAATACACTATTTCAAGTAACAGAAAAATTGTTGGTAAATGCATAAATTAGACTTTCTTCACTTTGATTTTTCAGTTTACCTTGCACTTCAGGACCAATTTGATTACACCACCCATATAATTCATATGAAGTGTCATAAATATAGGTGGCATACATGACATTCAGGTACAGCTTTTATGTAGTTCTAAGTCATTACCTGTAGAGCTGAGTCAATTACTGGAAATTAACATTCAGGGAGTATTTCATATCTACAGCCATCATATGAACTCTTGCAATGGAGAGAAACCTTCTCCAATGGGCCCTCTGTGACTGAGGTTTATTACCTCGATGATTTTGTTGCTTGTTGTAACCCAATACGTATGTTAGTATACCTTAAGGAATATGTTGTCATCCGATTTATTAGTTGGAGTATCTTACATCTTTCAATGGTAAGGAAAATTTTATATTGACATATCCAGAGTTTTTATTGAAGTTATATTAGTCCTATCTATCAGAGATATGCTAGAAAATCTATAACTTCCACCAAAATGTTGCCCATGTGAGCAATTCAGTTTATGAAGTGCAATCTTCTAAGGCAGGCTTAGGGCTTCGTGATTCATTTTTCAACCTATGTGATGTTTAATGATTTTGTCAAAATAAAAACTAATATGCAGTTCTATGTCCATCATCAAATTATGCCATTCAATTTATAGCTTAAGCTATGAAAAAAGACACCTAGATACGGAGGTCTGAGGAGAGGGAAATAGCTCCAGTCTATGCAATTTTCATTCCTCTTTGACACAGATATTTGTAGTGGGTAAGAAGTTATTTGGCTTATTATTACACTGGGAATTTGTTAGAACAGAGTAATGACATTGTTTCATTATGTCAAACATGTAGATATCTGTCTAGGGTATACTGTTGAGCAAAAAAAAAAAAAAAATGAAACTATATAAAACAAGAGGGAAAAGGGTTGAAAGGTCTTTATCACCTTGTTTAAACCGATCTTAAATCCCATTTTCTAAACTACTGAACAGTAATTCCCGAACACATTCATTTTTCTTAACTATCATAGTCAACATAGCAAGGAGGATGCTTGCAGGGTACGTACATGTTTGTGCATGTGCGTGCATGTGTGTGTGTGTATGTTTGATGTGAGTTCATGCATGCAGACTTTTTAAAAGGTTTAATACAAGTTATATTCTGCTTTCATTAACTTTTTACATATTGTTTTCTTGAGAATTGGATATTATAAAATATGGTCAAGAAAAGTAAAAGCTTAATAATAAAAAAAGGAAAAATAGTCTTCTCTTTGGATGATATGATTTTTGAAAATGAAGTGTACATTGGTTATTTAGATTGCAGTATTCATTAAAAACAGCTGTTATGTACAGTGTGTTTTCACATTCAGAGTTGATGAAAAGTACCCTAATTTTTTTGGTAGGGTCAATTTTTTGATATCTTTTATTTGCCTTCCTGCAGTAGGAGACATCTAATATTTGCCAATAACTCTTCCAAGATCACTTTATGCTAGTCTCCTTATGCTCTGCGTTGAGATATACAGGGATTTAGACCTACTGTGTAACCCTCAACATGTATTCACCTGGCTCACTTGAAGGGCACTGGCACCTATGTTGAGAGGCCTCATGTCCATGCATAAAGACATTACATTTCAATATTTTGAGAAAACCAGTAAAGCTCTGAATGGTTCAAAGACTAGCTCAGAGCCTCACAATTATTAGTAGGGAGTTTGGCCTCATGCTCCAGTTTGTCAGATTCAAAGGCCTGTGTGCTTTATGCAATGTCACCCAGCCCCCGGAAGTTGCAGAATGCCAGCTGTAATGGGGTAAAGCCACAGGCACATGTCAGATTTAGAATATATCACCAGAATGTTCAGCACAAAGAATCGATCTTCCTCTGCATGCAAGACCCTGCCATTAATCATTTTGCCTTTTTCTCACACATAGCACATGACTTGGAAAGCAAGGTTCACATGGGAATGCAATTTACATTTTAAATGATAGCTCTGTTCCTGGATTGCATAAAAAAGATTCACCTCTAATACTACCTTAACCAAATCTTTTATTATCCACAAGTAGTCAAAGTTTATCTAGAGAAAGCAGACAAGTATTAAAAATAGAATCTCAGGGGATTTTGTCAACGATAGTGTAACTTAAGTGAAATAAAATGTAGGGGATTCTGGGAGACAAAACCTGTCATGCAAATAAGTTAATGGGTTAGAGGGTCTTTTATTTTTTATTTATTTTTTTTAATTATTCTTTAAGTTTTAGGGTACATATGCACAACGTGCAGGTTAGTTACATATGTATACATGCACCATGTTGGTGTGCTGCACCCATTAACTCGTCATTTAACATTAGGTATATCTCCTAATGCTATCCCTTCCCCCCCCTCCCCCCACCCCACAACAGGCCCCGGTGTGTGATGTTCCCCTTCCTGTGTCCATGTGTTCTCATTGTTCAATTCCCACCTATGAGTGAGAACATGTGGTGTTTGTTTTTTTGTCCTTGTGATAGTTTGCTGAGAAAGATGGTTTCCAGCTTCATCCATGTCCCTAAAAAGGACACGAACTCATCATTTTTTATGGCTGCATAGTATTCCATGGTGTATATGTGCCACATTTTCTTAATCTAGTCTATCATTGTTGGACATTTGGCTTGGTTCCAAGTCTTTGCTATTGTGAATAGTGCCACAATAAACATATGCGTGCATGTGTCTTTATAGCAGCATGATTTATAATCCTTTGGGTACATACCCAGTAATGGGATGGCTGGGTCTAATGGTATTTCTAGTTCTAGATCCCTGAGGAGTCGCCACACTGACTTCCACAATGGTTGAACTAGTTTACAGTCCCACCAACAGTGTAAAAGTGTTCCTGTTTCTCCACATCCTCTCCAGCACCTGTCGTTTCCTGACTTTTTAATGATCGCCATTCTAACTGGTGTGAGATGGTATCTCATTGCGGTTTTGATTTGCATTTCTCTGATGGCCAGTGATGATGAGCATTTTTTCATGTGTCTTTTGGCTGCATAAATGTCTTCTTTTGAGAAGTGTCTGTTCATACCCTTCACCCACTTTTTGATGGGGTTGTTTGTTTTTTTCTTGTAAATTTGTTGGAGTTCATTGTAGATTCTGGATATTAGCCCTTTGTCAGATGAGTAGATTGCAAAAATTTTCTCCTATTTTGTAGGTTGCCTGTTCACTCTGATGGTAGTTTCTTTTGCTGTGCAGAAACTCTTTAGTTTAATGAGATCCCATTTGTCAATTTTGGCTTTTGTTGCCATTGCTTTTGGTGTTTTAGACATGAAGTCCTTGCCCATGCCTATGTCCTGAATGGTATTGCCTAGGTTTTCTTCTAGGGTTTTTATGGTTTTAGGTCTAACATTGAAGTCTTTAATCCATCTTGAATTAATTTTTGTATAAGGTGTAAGGAAGGGATCCAGTTTCAGCTTTCTACATGTGGCTAGCCAGTTTTCCCAGCACCATTTATTAAATAGGGAATCCTTTCCCCATTGCTTGTTTTTCTCAGGTTTGTCAAAGATCAGATAGTGATATGTAGCATTATTTCTGAGGGCTCTGTTCTGTTCCATTGATCTATATCTCAGTTTTGGTACCAGTACCATGCTGTTTTGGTTACTGTCGCCTTGTAGTATAATTTGAAGTCAGGTAGTGTGATGCTTCCAGCTTTGTTGTTTTGGCTTAGGATTGACTTGGCAATGCAGGCTCTTTTTTGGTTCCATACGAACTTTAAAATAGTTTTTTCCAATTCTGTGAAGAAAGTCATTGGTAGTTTGATGGGGACGGCATTGAATCTATAAATTACCTTGGGCAGTATGGCCATTTTCACGATATTGATTCTTCCTACCCATGAGCATGGAATGTTCTTCCATTTGTTTGTATCCTCTTTTATTTCATTGCGCAGTGGTTTGTAGTTCTCCTTGAAGAGGTCCTTCACATCCCTTGTAAGTTGGATTCCTAGGTATTTTATTCTCTTTGAAGCAATACTTGAGGGGTTTGGTGTGAAAGGGAGACATTATACAGTATGAGTCAAAGCAAAAATTGTTTTATGAACTAGACAACCACCTAAAAATAGGTATCAAAATCCTACTGCCCTAATACATAGACCATTTAACTGGAAAGTGTGAGTAAACATTGAAACATTTTATAGAGGGTAGACAGACACTGGAAACAAACGCCATTGAATTGCTGAGGAAGTTACTTTCTTGTCCATTCTAATTGCATTACTAAAGAAGCCTTAGCTTTAAGTTAACATGTCTTTACCACTTTATTAACGCTTGTTAATTTCTCCTGTGTAGTAACATAAGGTTTCCCTTTAAGATACATTTGTTTACATTAAAAAGAGTCAATCAAAAGGAAGATAAGTAGAGACTTGTTGCAGATATGATGAAAATCATGATAGCATACTATAATTATTGAACTACATATATAGAGAGATGGAAGGGGAAACAGATAAGCACCTGAATCCATTAGCTAAATTTTAGAATTAGTCTCTCTCTAGTTGTCTTTAAGATTTGAGGGAGGAACTAATATTGGAGGGTCAAACACTAGATCCAGTTGAGGCAAGAAATAACAAGTTTGCATGTATACAATTGCTGATCATCTACCAAATATCAAGTCCTGAATGTACAGATAAGTGAGATGTTTTCTGACTATCCTCCCCAGCACTACCAATAGGTTTGTTCTTGTTTGTTTATTTAGCCTCTGAATACAATTTCCTGTAGTAAGAACCTTCCTCAAACAATTCTAACCATTACCAACAAATTTATTTCCACCACAGGCAGTCTTTCTATACTATTAGGTCACTCACGGGAGTTCTGATCTCTCTTATTATAGTATATGCCAAATATTCTTTCCTTGGAATGAATGTTCTCCATTTGAAATATTTCCAGGTCCTGCCATCATTCCTTAATTTTCCCTTCATCATCTTGATTCTTCATCACTGAAAGGATTCAATTTTGCCGTTTTTTAAAACCTTATAGCCAGAACTGAATTCACTGTTTTAGGTCTAGCAATATTATTTTAGGGTAGGAAACTTATTTATTAAAAACTTTTGTTTCAGCCCCAAATCACACTAGTTTTGCGTGTTCTGTTGATAGCTCCAAATGAGATTATTGTTATTTTGTTCTTAAAGGTACTGAAAGCATCTTAAGTAATCATTTCTTTTAAGCTTATAAGTTATTTAATTAGAAAACAAACGAAAAGATCACCCCCTCCAACAAGCATACCTCGTTCCCCAGTGTTCTCTGGATTGCTGAGGTAATATAAATGAGGGTACCAGAGAGTGGCCATGTGAATAGAAGAATATTAGATTATTGGTCATATGGCTCTATTTTGTTAATAATAATTTTTAAAGGCTTCATTCAGTCTGAGATATTTATAAAAACTTTAAAAGTTTCCAGATTGTTTTAAAGAATAAGTTTCTAAGTTTATTTCCACCAATTCCTTCCTCTCCCAACATCCAAAATTACTTACATGTATGTAATGATGTTGTTTTGTTACCAGTGGGGCAAGGGAGAGAGAGTAAAATTGATGCAATGAAAACATTTGTTGGTGCTGTATTTATCCTTTGTCAAAAATATTTCTCTAATACTATCAGTAGCAGAAAACTGCAGATTAGTTCACAAGCTAAGCCAGAAAAAGGTAGAGAACTCTAACTTTCTACCAAACATAGGAAGATGACTCTACACCTTTATTTACAAAGGGTTTTTAGCGGGCTTTAGTCTTGGACAATAGCGTCTAATTGAGGGAGTCTGTTCAATTAGCAGACAGCCAAAAGAAGTGAGGAATCGTTATACAAATAACGAGATATTCAAAGCCATTCTGCCTCAATGAACTCTCTGACCAAGCTTAGGCCAAAGCTGTTCTAACATTAATTTGCATACAGATCATCTGGAAGATCTTGTTAAAATGCAGATGTTGATTCTTGGCCTCTAGGGTGAAGCTTGAGAGTTTGCATTTCTAATAAGCTTTATGAAGAAGCCATGCCACTGGTCTACAGACCTAACTTGATTATTAAGGGATTAACACAAAACTGACAGATTAGAAATTTCCTAACTCTGCTTCCAATTCTATTTTAATATTAGACCACTGTATATTTCACTTAATAAATATTTATTGAGCATCTGCAATGTGCAAGGTCTGCTTTAGCTGGCTGGGAATTCAGCCGTAATTTTTTTCCCAGTGCCTTTTAGGCTTTAGTTCAAAAAAGCAGGTCTCCACTTCAAGACCTCTCTGCAACAATTCTAATACAGCTTTGACGTTAAATTAAGAGCAAGGATTTTGGAAATTAGAAAGATGGCTCTGCCATTTAATAGCCTTGCTACTTTGGGTAGATTAACTAAACTCTGAGCCTCAGTTTCCACATCTATGAAGGATGAAAGGATATATTTGTAAATCATTCATACCATGAGTAATAAACGTCAATTGGTATTTTTCTTGCCCCAATTGTGTCGTTCACTAAGCCACAGGGTGAAACTGAACCTGTGGGCACAGACACACTTACAGTTAATTCATGAGGGGCTGGGATAGAGGGGACCGACTAAAGATCCTGAAAGTAGTTCCTTAGAGGCATCTACACTCCCATTCCAGAGATTTTTGTATGCATCAAAATTGATCTTTCCTTAATGATAAAAATGTCTGCATTTTGAATGGAGCCATGGTTATAGGCAAGTCTACTTTCTGTACAAGCAGTAGAATGAAACATAGGAAGTGGCCAGGACAGATACCAAATCATCTAACCAGGTTTCACAAGAGCATATGGCTCCAAGGATACAGGGGACTTCCTATGCTCTGAATGAAATTCTTGGGGAGTGTAATAAGCCGCATAGGGTAAGGGATGACCCCAATAACAGGGTGATATTAGGAAGAGCAAAGCAGAGAAGAGGCAGGGACCTGGTTACAGGAACTGGGGTAGAAGGAGACATGGACACCATGGGGATGATCCTGTTGCTAACCTATGAAGTAACCTGCTTGAGGATCCTATGAGTTTTCCCGAATTGGATCTAAGATCTGAGAAAAAAAGATGTGTAAGGAGAAGAAGGTGAGAGTCACTCTTGGAAAGCAGGAGTGGCAAAAGAAACCTAACCCAAGCTGCAGTGCTTAGTTACACACATTAACAATTTGAACAAGGAAGTGCTATGTTCTGTGCTGTGCAGTATAGTTGATTGAGACGTGTTCACTTTAAGAATTATCAAAACACATATCATCATAGTGTTTAGACTGTAAGACTGAGAAATAGTCAGTGAGTTAAAAGCATAGGAAAAATATTTAAGAATGTCAGCCAAATGTTATGTCCATTTATAATATTAAAAGGATGGTAGAAACTACAGTCTAGAGCCATGAACTGTGATAACTGTATATAAGTCTGAAATATTAGTTTATTCTTTCATTGTTATTTTGTCAGTATCATTCTACCTTTCCCTTATTAATCAGGGTGTAATCCTTAAAAAGATAAACGTACTTGTGCTTGTCTGTCTAGATGACTGCAGGAAGAAAGAGTTGGGTATTCTGCTTTGATGCCAGGTATAGAAGGCAGAGAAAGATGACATAAGAGTGAATGACATTAGGGAAAAGTTAAGTACTTAAGGCAATAGCGAGAAAACCAAAAGCCATATTAGAATTGAGTAATGTGTTTAGTCATAGAGAACCATTGTAGTTTTGGAATCTTCTGCTTTTACTGAGCTGAAAATCTTTATTGATGAGCTTGACAGACTAAAGATCAGGTAAGAAGGCCAAACATGATTGGCAGCAGCAATTAGAGATTCACAAGCTACACTAGGAAATCATGAATTCCTCAGAAGAATGAACTTCTGCTCTTGTTCTCATTTACCTTTCTGATCTTACAGTGGAGTTCAGCATCAGAAGGAATTTAAGAGGCTGTGGCCACATGGTAAAATGTCAGAGGACTTGGCAACTGTCAGCCTACTTGAAGGGCATTTCTCCCTTTGGCTCATTAATCGTACCACAACAATATCTTGTGTACACTGGCATTTTAGAAACTTCCCCATTACTCCTTTCTGATGATTACCTAAGTGAATTACTGTTCCCTAGTGTGACTTTACCCTGCCTTTTCTTGTAACTAGCCATGAATATACCAACAGTAAATGGGTGACGAAATGGAAAAGGTGACTTTACAAATTTTTTTTGACTCTTCTGAAAATGTCATGTCCTCTGTTGGAAATATCTAAGAGGCCATTTTGCTTCCTCTCTCCCTATAATAAACCATGTCCACCTTTTTTTATATCTCCCTTCCATCTTGGTTTCACTTGGTCTTGGTCCAAATTAAAGTGTAAGGAGAGACACTGCTTTCATAGTAAATTGAGGTCTAGGGAAGATGTGTGAATTGGATGAATGAGGCACAGTAAAGACATGTAAATTAATTAATATAATGCACTTAATGCACTGTGTAAGAATTGCCTCTTTCTCAGCATTTACAGTCTACATTTTTAAAGCAACACCAAAGAAAATGTCATCCTCATTATAAAAAAAGGAATAATCTGGAGACTGTGTCTAAAATACAGCTACATTAATGGATAAAAAACTGTGATTTTTTTTTTATTGCCTACTTTAAAATGTTTTATTGTTGAACTCCAGGCAGAGTCTGTTTTTGTGGCAAAGAGAAATTAAAGTAAAAGTGACCTAGTAGTCCACCTAGGCTCTGTGCTCACCACCTATGGGGACAAAAATGTCAAAACCAGAAACAACTTACGCCACCAGGAATTTAGTTTTAATTGATTGGACGAACTTAAAACTCATTTTCCTGTCTCCTCCCTTTCCTCAAAGATGGACACAGGCCCAAGTTTTATCTGACTTTTCAAACACCTGATGTTCATATACTTAGTAGCCATAATGTTCTATGAATTCAAAATATGACACTAGTAATGGTTCCTAAAAAAGATAGTAGAAAATATTAGCTACGTATATTTTGCATTATACTTTACAATTGATATACCCCTTTCACCTTTGTTTTCCATTTTATCTTTCTTTATTCTTTTTTATTTGTTTTTATTTTTTGAGATGGAGTTTCGCTCTTGTTGCCCGGGCTGGAGTGCAATGGCACAGTCTCAGCTCACTGCAATCTCTGCCTCCTAGGTTCAAGCGAGTCTCCTGTCTCAGCCTCCAAAGTAGCTGGGATTACTGGTGCCCACCAACATGTCCGGCTAATTTTTGTATTTTTAGTAGAGACAGGGTTTCACCATATTGGCCAGGCTGGTCTCGAACTCCTGACTTCTAGTGATGCACCCACCTTGGCCTCCCAAAGTGCTGGGATTACAGGCGTGAACCACAACATCCAGCTTGTTTTCCATGTTATCTTATCTTCAATTAAAATAAATAATGTAACCCCATTGCTCAGCTAAAGGAAATGGAGGTGCCTAAGGGCAAATAGCTGCTGTGTGAAGTTTCATGTGCGTCCCTGTGAAGAGACCACCAAACAGGGTTTGTGTGAGCAATAAAGCTGTTTATTTCACCCGGGTGCAGGTGGGCTGAGTCCGAAAAGAGAGTCAGCAAAGGGTGGTGTATTATCATTAGTTCTTACAGGTTTTGGGATAGGTGGTGAAGTTAAGAGCAATGTTTTGCGGGTAGGGGTGGATCTCACAAAGTACATTCTCAAGGGTGGGGAGAATTACAAAGTACATTGATCAGTTAGGGTGGGGCAGGAACAAATCACAATGTTGGAATGTCATCAGTTAAGGCTATTTTTACTTCTTTTGTGGATCTTCAGTTACTTCAGGCCATCTGGATGTATACCTGCAAGTCACAGGGGATGCGATGGCTTGGCTTGGGCTCAGAGGCCTGATATTCCTGCCTTCTTATATTAATAAGAAAAATAACACAAAATAGTGTTGAAGTGTTGGGGCGGCGAAAATTTTTGGGCGGTGGTATGGAGAGAGAATGGGTGATGTTTCTCAGGGCTGCTTCAAGCGGGATTAGGGGCAGCGTGGGAACCTAGAGTGGGAGAGATTAAGCTGAAGGGAGGTCTTGTGGTAAGGGGTGATATTGTGGGGATGTTAGAAGAAACATTTGTCGTATAGAATGATTGGTCATGGCCTGGATACGGTTTTGGATGAATTGAGAAACTAAATGGAAGATACAAGGTCCGAATAAAAGAAGGAGAAAAATGGGTATTAAAGGACTAAAAATTGGGAGGACCCAGGACATCCAATTAGAGAGTGCCCAAGGGATTCAGCGTAATTACTTGCTTGGTTGGCAAGTTTTTGGGCTCTATCCTTGAGTTTTTTTGTTGTCATACACCTGGCCAGATTGATTTAGGTAAAAACAACTCTCTTCATTTAAGAATATACAGAGTCCTCCTTTTTCAGCAGTGAGTAAGTCAAGGCCTCAGCGGTTTTGGAGGACAACTGCAGCTAAAGAGTCAACTTGGGCCTGGAGGACTGATAAAGTTTGTGATATGTCTGTGAAGCTAGCAGAGAAGTCATTAGACAGGCTACGGAAGGTCGTGACAGAGGTTGAAATGCCTGCTATTCCAGTACTGAGAGCAATAGTGGAGGCAGAAAGTCCTAAACTGACCATCAAGGGAATTAGTGGAATAACTCTTTTTTGTTGTGTCGGTGTCATGAGGGGAACGGGGGGACCTCCCTTGGGAGATCAATCCCCTGTCCTCCTGCTCTTTGCTCCATGAAAAAGATCCACCTACGACCTCAGGTCCTCAGACCGACCAGCCCAAGAAACATCTCACCAATTTCAAATCCGAGTCACGGCACCAAATTTCATGTGCGTCTGTGTGAAGAGACCACCAAACAGGCTTTGTGTGAGCAATAAAGCTGTTTATTTCACCTGGGTGCAGGTAGGCTGAGTCCGAAAAGAGAGTCAGCAAAATGTGGTGGATTATCATTAGTTCTTACAAGTTTTAAGATAGGCGGTGAAGTTAAGAGCAATGTTTTGCAGGCAGGGGTGGATCTCACAAAGTACATTCTCAAGGGTGCGGAGAATTACAAAGTACATTGATCAGTTAAGGTAGTGCAGGAACAAATCACTATGGTGGAATGTCATCAGTTAAGGCTATTTTTACTTCTTTTGTAGATCTTCAGTTCCTTCAGGCCATCTGGATGCATACGTGCAAGTCACAGAAGATGCGATGGCTTGGCTTAGGCTCAGAGGCCTGACATGAAGAAACTACAGCTCAGAGACATGCCTTGTCCAATGGGCTAAAGGTTGTCTTGCACATTATCTCACTTATTTTTCAAAAAGTGTTATGAAGTATGTACTTGAAAATTATTATCCTACAGATAAGAAGCAAAATTTAATTGATAACAGTAAAAAGAAACTGATTCATTTAACTAGTGATATTCCAAGGGAGATTTAAATTTAACTTGTTTGCATTCCAAAACTTAGATTCTTTACATTTTTGAGAAAAGATATGTATAAGAAACCAAGAAGCACTGAAATATAGTGGCTAAGAGCACTGGAATCAGATTTCCGTACTGAAAATGCCAATTCTACCAGCTTATCATTGGGATAGTTTACTTAATTTGTCTATGTTTCAGCATTTTTGCCTGTACTGTGAAACTATTACACAGACATTCTCACAGAGACATCATAAAAAACAATGAAATACATCATGTAACTCTTGACACAGTGTATGTTATACAGTATGTAGTTTAAAAAAAGCTTGCTGCCAGGTGCAGTGGCTCATGCCTGTAATCCCAACACTTTGGGAGGCCGAGGCGGGTGGATCACCTTGAGGTCAGGAGTTCGAGACCAGCCTGGCTGACATGGCAAAACCCCATCTCTACTAAAAATACCAAAAAAAAAATTAGCTGGGCATGGCGGGGGCTCCTGTAGTCCCAGCTATTCAGGAGGCTGAGGCAGGAGAATCACTTGAACCCGGGAGGCAGAGCTGGCAGTGAGCCGAGATCGTGCCACTGCACACCAGCCAAGGCGATAGAGTGAGACTCCATCTCAAAAAAAAAAAAAAAAAAAAAAAAAGCTTGCTATGAGAGCTATGGTAACAATTATTCTTACTACGTCCTCTTCAGTGTAATCTGGAATCTAGTAGTAGGTAGGATCTAGGCCAGCACTTTGATTCAATATCCCTCCTCTGAAAAGAAACATGCCATCAGCATTGTATCCTTATGATGTTCCTGATAATATATTATTTTCCTGACAGAGAGAAGGCTCGTGTTACTGAATGATGTTTGCCAAGAGGAGTTTGTTTAGGAAGAAAAGATATATTTACCAAAACAAAAAAGCAGCTCAACACAGGGGCCCATTATTTCAGAGGGTCCACCACCGTAGCCAGATTGTCAGGCTTTTATACAATTTGCAAAGTAAAACATTTTAATCTTGATTGGTCATTGTGTCTTTCCTTCCCAAATCCTTCTATGTCTTACTCTTTGCTTGGGTTAGTTGGAGTTGAGGTGCTCCATGGACATTTTTGGGATCTGGCTAAAGGAAAATCGTGCCAGGAATACATGGATTTCACAGAATATTTTTATATAGTTCGTTTGCTGTGTGTATGGTTGCTACTGCTGGCTGTCTCAAAGTGAGAATGACTTCCCAAGCTATGATTCTGTCTCTCATAGCAAAACATAAATAGTTGGTATCATTATGCAAAAATGTCCTATGGCCCCCAACATCAGAACTAAGCGATGGAGGAGAAAAAAGATGTAAAATTTAAAACTTGTGTGTGGAATAATCTTCTAACCCATACACATGTAACTTTGTAAAGAAAGAATTTTGTTCTCACTGAAACCTAGTCAAATCACCATTTTTATTCCTTCAAGGATATCGTTGATAATTCAAGAAAAATAAGCAAAAAACAATCAAACTTGCTAGATAAAAGACTGAAAATAACTTTCTATTCACTCTATAAAACAGGATAATCCAAAACTGTCATGAGACTACACAGACAAATACTTTAGAAAACAAAAAGTATTATGGAAGTGTTTCAATAAGTTAATTAATTAAAAATATGCTATTCTTTTGGACTGTGTGATATTTGTAATCTTTTCAGTTTGTAATCTGCTATGATTTCTTCATTCATTTTAAATAAAAGATTTTGGTCATGCAAATTTGCATTCATAATTTGTATTATTAAAGAAGGCTTCACTCATATTGTAAAAGATTCCTTTTATAAAAGGAGAAATACACCTCTTCTAGGATATCTTCCAAAAATGCAAAAATTAGGCTCTTTCAAGTTTTTGAGGATGAATATTAACTCAGGCAACTGAAGTTGAACCAGAAATGCAGAGACAGTAAACACGAGGAGAAAGGTAAATTCATGCCGCATGTTCAGCTGGCTCTTTATATTTTGGGGGGCTTCAGGACTTTAGCCAAGTCTACACTGCAGAGCTCTGAAAGCCGAGAGGATGCATATCTTCTCTTGACTTATCAGAGCTACCAAATGGACTCTTTGGAAGGAAGAAATTGCATGAAGAACAAAGAAATAAACACGTGCGGAGACCTGAATAGCCATTATAAGGATTTAAAAAGGGGTTGAAAAAGGAACAATAAAGAAACTCTATTGGAAACAGACTGGAGAGGTTTTCACTGCTTAGAATAATGCTCCTTGCTAATAGTCCCCCACAATCTTCATTTGCTATAACCCCTTTTTTTCCTGTATCTTTAATCACAAATTTATGCACTAAATGTGTGTTACATAGCAACCCTGGGCCAGAATCTGAGCTATGTGTTGGGATACCATGTTGAGCAAAAATATACACCCTACACCTGTGGAACATATAGCTAGTATGCAAGATGACTCACACCTATACACAAATCACACAGATACAAATCATAACTCAGATAATGTGCTCGGAGTGGCACATTGGAAGAATATTTATGTGGATGTGACCTAGGCAGAGATCTCCAGACAGGTCTTTTTGAGTATGTAATATTTTTGCTAATTTCTGTTATGGGGGTAAGAATTAACAAGGAGATAGGAGTTAGGAATGAGTGTAGGTTGAGAGGGAAAGATAAACAACATTTCAATCAGAAGAAGAGTACATAGGGCAAAGGTACAAAACATAAGAGAGAATAAGAAAACAAGTCATGCACAAAAAGATTATTAATTTGGTATTTCAAGAAAATTCCTACTGTACAAAATATATTGTATCAAGTGGAATAATATCATCACCGTCACTTTCACCACTGTCACTGCCACCATGTCAATGACCACCAATTGCAGGCCTATGTTCCAGGAACTATAATAATTTTTATTGTACATTTTTCCATTTAATCCTTATACCATCTTGCGTTCATTTGTTTGCTCATCCATTCATTTATCCATTAACTTATTCAGTATATATTTATTAGATGCCTAATCTGTGGCAGGCATTCATTGTTATGCAATATTTAGTATTTGACAAGACAGATATAGATTCTACCCTAATGGAATAATAATTTGTAATTAAATATTGACTTGATATATGTTACTTGTTATTTTATATGCCTCATTTGATTCTATGTTCTGAAATTACACAATTCTTATTTCACAGCTCCTCCCTGGAGAGTGTCTCAAGCTGGCTAGATGAAACAAACACAAGTCAGGCCATGTGTGGTAGCTCACGCCTGTCATTCCAGCACATTGGGAGGCCAAGTCTGGCAGATCACTTCAGAACAGGAGATTGAGACTAGCCTGGCCAACATGGTGAAACCCTGTCTCTACTGAAAATACAAAAATTAGTCAGGTGTGGTGGCGCAAGCTGTAATTCCAACTACTTGGGAGGCTGAAGCACAAGAATTGCTTGAACCTGAGAGGCAGAAGTTGCAGTGAGCTGTGATGGCGACACTGCACTCCAGCCTGGGCAACAGAGAGAGACTTTATCTCAAACAACAACAACAACAAAATCCTACAAACACAAGTCAGATTCAGGAAGTTTGGAAGGTGGACGAGATAATCCCACTGGCATGGGAGTGGCTGAGAGATACTCCTGGGCATGGGACATACTCGTGGGTGAGTGCAGACCCTTAGAGAGGACCATGGGCCCTGCCACATAAAATTTGTCATACCTGTGCTTGCTGGAGCCTGTTGAGTGCCTGGCTCCCCATCTGCTAGCTGATGATCTGACACTCTATTCCCTGACCATGGGTAGAGTCTTGGGAAGTGGGATATCAGCTGTGTTTCCTTCCTTCAGGCTTTTCACTGCAACTCACAGTAGATGGCCAGCTCCCAGAGGTTTTAGTAGATGGTTTGGGGTTCCACTAAAGGCTTCCCCATGCTGAGATGCAGGCTCTAGTCAATCATCTGCCAGACAAACCATTGTGTTGCCAGCCTGCAGCAGTGACAGCCACTACTATGCCCCACTCTGAGATGTCATGGGGCAAGTGCATACAACTGTAACCTTCTGTACCCCTATCCGTGAACCTGCCAGTGCGAAGGATGGTGGTAGCCATGAGTGGAGAAAAGAGGGTGAGGCTGGGTGAGCCCAGGAAACCAGGAGGCAGGGGAGCAAGTGGCAGAGAACTCATCCCAGGAATGTGGTAGATTGTGATAGGATGTATAAGCCAAGGTTCCAAGTCCTGGGCACATGCTCCATTGTCTCCTTGGACTTCAGTTACAAAATACAAATTCAAAGACAAAATTATTAAGAACTCCTGGTAGCATGTACCTGTAGTCTCAGCTAGCTGGGAGGCTGAGGCAGGAGACTCACTTGAGCCCAGGAGTTTGTGGCTACAGTGAACGAGGATCACATCACTGCACTATAGCCTGGGCGACAGAGCAAGAGACTGTTTAAAAAAAAGAGAGAGAGAGAGGGAGATAATTGCAGGACAGCAATTGCAGACCACTGAACTCCAAATAAGGTGCCCTTCTGAGTTGGAGGGACCAATGCAACTTCACTGGTCATATGCCCATGAAGTCAGCTCTGAATGAAGGTCAGAAAATAATTATGTACAGCGGTCAGGAAGGCTTCTCTGAAAAGCTAAGACCTGAGGGATATGAATGCTCTGGCCATGGACTAGGAAGAGAGCATTGCTATTATTATAACCTTTTCTCTATTGAGATTTAGAGAGGTTAATTAACCTGTGTGTGACAAAACTCAAATTAGTTTGACTCCAAAGTCTGTTTTTAAGCCTTACTGTATACATCTGCCTCTACTTGGGAAGGTTACGTTTGTCCTGTTAGGCATTCTATAGAAAGAAGCCAAGATGATTTTCTGTAAGGAGCTATGCATACAATTAAGAAGAAATTAACTCATTAAAAACAACAACAAAAATCTGAACACCAGTAAAGCCATATGAAAAGCCAACTGTTACCTTTGTACTTAAACTTTGTCCTTGACTTCCAGTCATCAAGACAATAATGACTCATACCACTAGTCAAAGCTTAAACAAAGATGTTTCTGGTTTTTTTGTTTATTTGTTTTTTTTTTGGTTGTTTGTTTGTTTTAGAGACAGAGTCTGGCTCTGTCACGCAAGCTGGAGTGCAGTGGCACCATCATAACTCACTTCAACCTTGAAATCCTGGGATGAAACAATCCTTTCACCCCAGCCTCCCAAGTATCTAGGACTACAGGTGCATGGCACCACATCCAGCTACCTTTTTTTGTTTGTTTTTTGGGTTTTTGTTGGTGTTGTTGTTGTTGTTGGTGGTGGTGGTGGGGTATGTGTGTGTGTGCGTGTGTGTGTGTGTGTGTGTGTGTGTTTAGAGACAGGGTGTCCCAGGATGGTCTCAAACTCCTGGTTGCAAGTGATCCTCCCATCTCAGCTTCCCAAAGTGCTGTGATTACAGTTGTGAGCCACTGTACCCAACCCAAAGATGCTCCCTGCTCAGACTCATTATTCTTGTGTTAGCACATATCTTCATTCATTTCTGTTTACATTCTAGCACTCTACAATTGAATAATTGAGAAATTTACTCTTGCCTAAACCCACCATGTCATTTTATGCTTCTGAATCTTGTGATTGACTTTCCTAATCTCTTCAATGTCCTTCATTGCTTCTATTGCTTCTGTTTGCTCATACCAACCTTTTCCTCTATATTAAATAATTTTCTGTGAATGGTTTGCATAACCTTTGTGTTGATAGAGCTAACATTATGCTTAATTCATAGCTGGTACTCATTTAATGTTTATTGACTTGGGATCTGCCAATGGGATATTGATCAGCAACAATATCCCTCTGCCTGAAGAACCAGACAGGTTATTTTTTAAAAGATTATTTTCTTTAAAAACTCCATACAAATACATTAAAAACTCCATACAAATACAAAACATATTCTTGATGGGTGGACAGAGAAACAAAGGAACTGTGTCTGACTGTGGACCATTTTGATTTTGGAATTTTCTTGCCACAAATGTTCCCAATTAATGTTTGAAGAAAGCTATTTGTTTTGGACAATCATGCCAATGATATGTTTTGTTCTGTAAAAGAATAACATTTGACTCTAGAGAAATACAAGCAGACAGACAGGAGTCAGTGAAATGTAAAACTTCTTTCTTCTCTCCACTTTCGAATATGAAATATACATCAAGGGTAGTTTTTGAGTTCTGTTTGTGTTCCTGTCTCACTATTATGCCCATTAGGCACCCATGAAAACAAATAAGAGGAACACATAAAATATTGCAGAGGAAAAACAAGGACAAGAATCCATCAAACATAAATTATTAAAAATTATATACTTAATGTTATATATAACACATATGCTATGAGTAATATATTTGCAAACATAAATATAAAAACGTAAATGTGTATGAGTGTGCTTCCATTGTCACAGGAACCAGGCTAATTATTTTGTATAAAAAATTCATTTACTTATCACAACCATCCTTTTTTTGTTGTTTTTAAAGCACTTTATTAAGGTATGATTGATGTACAAAAAGCTATACATATTGAACTTGTACAACTTGATGATTTTGGAGGCAATATACACCTGTGAAACCATCACTACAATCTATGTTATAAGTGTATCCCTTAGCTACAAAAGTTCACTTCTACCTTCTTTATTTATTATCTTTGTCTGTGTGTGTGTGTGTGTTTGTGTGTGTGTGTGTGGTAACACTTAAGATCTCCACCCTCAACACATTTTTAAGTAGATAAGACGGTATTATTAACTGTAGCTACTATGCTGTACATACAGTAGATCTCAGAAACTTACTCATTTTGCATAATTGAAACTTTGTACCCTTTGACTACTACCTTCCATTTCCCCTCCCCAGTCCCTGGACATCATCATTCAATTCTCTGCTTTTATGAGTTTGGCTCTTTTAGATTCCTCATGTAAATTTTATCATGTAGCATTTGTCCTATGGCTTGGCTCATTTCACCTAGCATTATGTCCTCCAGATTTATCCATGTTGTTACAAATGACAGAATTTTTTTTATTTCTTAAGGCTGCATAATAGTTCATTGTATGTATAGACCACATTTTCTTTATCCATTCTTCTACCAATGGACATTGAGGTTGCCTCCATGTTTTTGCTATTATGACTAGTACTGCAGTGAGCATAGAGGTACAGATATCTTGTCAAGATCTTAATTTTAATTTATTTGAATACTTGAATAATAATTTTTATTTTTAATAATAAAAAAACAGATTATTTTTGAATGTTAATTATTTTTTCCAGAACAATAATTGATAATATGGTAGTTCTGTTTTTAATTGCTTTAGGGATCTCCATATTGTTTAAATTTATATTCTCACCAACACTATGGAAGGGTTCCTTACTTTTCCACTTCCTTGCCAACCATTATGTTTTTTTTTTTAATGGCCATCCTAAAAGGTGTCAGGTGATATCTCATTGTGGTTATGATGTGCATTACCCTGATGACTAGCAATGTTGAGCTCCTTTCATATACCTGCTGTTCATTTCTATGTCTTCTTTGGAGAAAGGTTTATTCAACTCCTTTGACTGTTTTTTAATCAAGTGGGGTTTTTGAGTGTTGTTATTGAGTTGTAGGAATTTCTTTTATATTTTGGAGATTAACCCTTTATCATAATATATATATACACACAAGCACACATATAACACACATAGGCACACATATATGTATACATATGTATACATGTATACATATATGTGTGCGTGTGTGTGTGTATATATATGTTCTCCTATTCCATAGATTGCCTTTTTTTCTTTTTTTTTTTTTCCTTTGCTGTGTGTATAGCAGCTTTTTAATTTGAGGTAGTCTTGTCTATTTTTTATTTTGTTTTTTTGTGCTTTTGGTATCATATTCAAGAAGCCATTACCAAGAGCAATGTCAAGAAGCTTTTCCCCAGTGCTTTCTTCTAAGAGATACAGTGTTTTGGGTCTTGTGTTTAAGCCTTTAATCCATTTTGAGTTGATTTTTGTGTATGGTGTAAGATAAGAGTCCAGTTTCATTTTTTGTATGTGAATACCTGGTTTTCTCAACACCATTTATGGAAGAGGCTATTCTTTTCCCATTGTGTATTTTTGGCACCCTTGCCAAATATCTATTTACCATATATGTGTACATTTATTTATGGGCTCTCTATTCTGCTCCATTGACTCATATATCAATTTTTATGCCCGTGTCACACTGTTTAGAATACTGTAGCTTTATAATATATTTTGAAATCAAAAAGTGTGATGCTCCCATCTTTGTTCTTCTTGCTTAAAATTTGTGTAGTTATTCTGGGTCTTTTATGGTTTCATATGAATTTTAGGATTGTTTCATTTATTTCTATATAAAACATTATTGAGATTTTGTTCAGGATTGCACCAAATTTGTACGTTGCTTTCAGTAGCATGGAAATTTTAACAATAGTAATCTACTCAACAAACGGGATGTCTCTCCATTTATTTGGATTCACTCCAATTTATTTTTACAGTCGTTTTATAGTTTTTAGTGTCTCGGTCTTTTACTTACTGGTTAAGTTTATCTTATTTAATTTTTTTTTTTTTTTTGAGATGGAGTCTCGCTCTGTCACCCAGGCTGGAGTGCAGTGGCGCAATCTCGGCTCACTGCAAGCTCCGTCTCCCAGGTTCACGCCATGCCTCAGCCTCCCGAGTAGCTGGGACTACAGGTGCCCACCACCACACCCAGCTAATATTTTTGTATTTTTAGTAGAGACGGGGTTTCACCATGTTAACCAAGATGGTCTCGATCTCCTGACCTTGTGATCCGCCCGCCTCTGCCTCCCAAAGTGCTGGGATTACAGGCGTGAACCACCACGCCCGGCCAAGTTTATTTTTAAATATTGTATTCTGCTTGATGTTATTGCATATGAAAGTGTTTTCTTAACATTTCTTTCAGATAGTTTGTTATTAGTGTATAGAAACACAACTGAGTTTTGCATTTTGATTTTGTATCCTGTATGTTCATGAATTTATTTATTAGTTCTCATAATTTTTGTGGAGTTGTTTTAGGTTTTCTATAGATAATATTATGACATCTGCAGAGATAATTTTACCTTTTATTTTCTGATTTTGATCTCCTTTATTTCTTTTCTTGCCTGACTGCTCTACCTAGCAATTCCAGTACCATGTTGAAATGAAGTGGAGAGAATAGGCATTTTTTCTTTTCTCACGTCTCCGAGGGGAAGCTTTCAGTTTTTCAGCATTGAGCATGATGTCCCCTGTGGGCTTTTCATATATGTACTTCACCATGTTGAGGCAACTTCCTTCCATACAAGTATTAGTCAGAGTTCTCCAAAGAAATAAAACCAATAGTATATGTAGATATTTAAGAAGAGTTTTGTTATGGGAATTTTCTCACAAAATAATAGAGGCTAAGAAGTCCTACAATGTACCTACTGCAAGATACAGAAAAAGAAAAGGTGGAGGTGTAATTCAGTCCAAGTTCAAAGTCCTGAGGATTGTGGGAGGGAACAGGGAGGTATATGGGAGGTTGGGGAGGGAGGCTGGTGTTAGTTCCAGAGTCTAAAGGCCTCACACAGGAGCTCTGATTTCCCAGGGCAGGAGAAGATAGATGTCCCAGCTCAAGAAAAGAAAGAGAGCACTTGTCCTTTCTCTACCTTTTTGTTCTATCTGGGCCATCAGTGGATAGGATGATACTCACTCACACTGGTGAGGGCAGATATTCTTTACTCTGTGTATGGATTCAAATGCTAATTTCTTCTGGAAACATTCTCACAGGTGCATCCATAAGTAATGTTTTCACTGTCTATCTGGGCATCCTTTAGCCCAGTGAAGTTGAGACAAAAAAATAACTATCAATGCCTAATTTGTTTAGATGTCACATTATCATTTTACAGATGTTAAAATCCAAGCTCAGAAAGAGATTTAAAGATTTAAACCTTGATTTTCTTGATTTCTGAGCGCATGTTATTAGTCCACTCAATGCTATCCAACCACAATGATAATATCAAAAACAATAATAAAACACAAGAGTAATCAGAGCTACAACTGAAAAGCTTCTAACTCTTATTGAATTCTTATCATATACCCATTCTTAGTGCTAGAGATATATGATGCAATTTAATTCTCACTGCTAAGCTATACATTTGTCATTCCCACTTGACAGAGGCACAGAGAACATAGACACAATGCTGAAGGATTACACTGCCTTTACATCATAGAACCAAAGTTATAAGCCAGGCAGTCTTACTGGAAAGCTCTAGTCCCAAGTATTTATGTTTCAGAATTATTCAGTATTGTATGAGTATGTTTATTATTCAGAATTATTATAATTATATGTATTATAGTATGTATGTAATATCTATAGACCTACATGTACCCAGTTAATATCAATTAACAATTAAACTGAAAAATTTTATAGGCAATGTGTTAACTAATTGTTATTACCATAACAAAATAGCAGGAGTGAACATGAGTCCTGTTATTTTTCACTAACAATCCTGTGGTTAATCCAATGACGTGGCTCTTTGAAAGTGATAGAAAGTTTCAACATTATCTATGTCAAGTCCATTTGGGATGAGGTTACACGGATCTCATTTAAGAATATAAGACCCTCTCTCGGCATGCTGTCAGGACATATATGGATGTGATTGAATGGATGTAAGGAGGAAGCAGGACTGTGAGTGCTGTAACTGGGTTTATGCTGGATTTACTGTACTAGGCACTTTACATTCCATTATTTCTTGGATACTGTATCTATGAGTTTGGAATTAGTATTCTCATTTTAAAGATGAGAAACCCAATTCTTGGTAAGGTTAATTAACTTCGCCAAGATCAGTCAGCAATTGAGTGCTTTTTAAAAAAATCCCGGAAATATGTAACTCTAATATTTCTGCTCATAACTACTAAGAAATTTGGCTTTCTTTTTATGTGTGTGATATATGGAGATCATGTTGTTTATGTGAACATTATAGGTCTAAAACACAAATAAAGTCGGGCAGGTAGTAGAAACAATTTATCATATCCATATCTCTTTTTCCAGGATGATTTTTCTTTGTATCTTAGATAAGAGAAATCCACAAGGAGAGTGCCCTGGTGTTGATTTTACCATTAAAAACAAAATTACGTATTTCGGAATTATTAAAAACATTATATTTTTATTGCCATCACTAAGTTTGTTAAGCTGTGATTGTAATTTTAGTGCTAATGTAAATTATGTTTCTCTTAAAAGAAATATCCAACATGGCATTTAGTACAGCAAATTGAATATGATCTTTTCACTGAGGCTATATTATCCTTTTGCTAATTAACATCGTCTTCCAGTGCAAGACTTTGTGGGGAAAAATGATGATGCCAACAGTAGCTGAGGGATGAAATCCAGAGGGAATGTTATTGAATTAGTTTGAGCACTGTGGAGTACAACTAAAACTAATTGTTTGGGAAAGATTTGAGGTTTGTATGCAAAAGGAAACAGATCAAATCCCCCTCTAAAGGATAATATGACTTTGTCTCATCTTTGAAAAAGAGACTAGTTATAGTTATTGTACATTTGTTACTTTTTTTTCCTCCCCAACAGTGGTTGAAAAGACAATTATTTATTTATTTCTCTCTCTCTCTCTCTCTCTCTCTCTCTCTCTCTCTGTGTGTGTATGTGTGTGTACACACAACTACAACCATTGTAAAAAATGCAGTTTTTACAAAAACCTCAACTATTCCTCCTCATAGTTTATTCATCTGCCACAAATAGTGATACACTGAAATGGATGAAGAGAGAACAATTGAATGATATAATACAGTTTATTCTTTTAAACAAATGGCTCGAGGCTTTATCCCAACATCCCTGTTTGAGTTCTCTTTTTGTTGTTTTGGTGCCTTGATGTTAGTTTTTGTGTTTGTTTTGGTTTTTTGTTTGTTTGTTTTTGTTTTGTTTTGTTTTTCCTGGGTAGTTTGTCCTTTTCATTTCCATCAGCCATCTTTTCTCATCATTAAAACTATGACAACTTGCACTACCACATGCTCTGATAAGCTTTAGGCTTGGAAATCAGAAAATCAAACCCATCCTTTTAACTTACTGAAGGGATACTTATGGTATAGTTAGTTAGACAATAAGTATAATGTTGACCTAAAAGCAACTTAAATAGTCCCTACCTTATAGAATGAGAGTGTAAGTCCAGTAGGCAATTCATAAAAGAGAGTTACATAAAGGAACAATAGCTACAATAAGTGGAAAGAACAATAATGCTATGAATATATATGCTAAAGAAAATTGTCCCAGCTATGGAATTGTGTCTGAAGAAGTATTTATTATCATTATTGTTAATAACATGAAGTTTTATACATGTGGTCAGACATAATTATCATAATTTTGAAAGCCTATTTCTCAATATCTGGTCTGGGAAAGTGAAAAGCAAAGAACTGATGACTTCTTTTACACCGCCCTTTTTCTGACCCACTGATCATCACAAGGACAGTGACTCAGCTTTTTTCCCCTCCTCCATATTTATTCCCAGCCTTGGCATCATTATATGCTGGCAACTTATATTCCATAATTTAAATTCGCTGAGTGATGAGAATTATTTTGTTTTTTCTGCTGTTGTTGTGTTATACATGAGTATTGACCTTATATGTAACTGCTAGAAAATTAAAGGTAGATATATGTAACTGCTAGAAAATTAAAGGTAGACACACCCTCAAGCTCATTATTCTCCTCTCTACCCTCTTTTTCTAATCCCAGTGAAAAAAGTGTCCAGCCATTAAGCGTGTGGGTTCTTAATGGCCCCAGAGACAATGTGGCCCAGTGGAAGGCTTGGCTACAGTACACAGAATGTGTCTTAACTTGGGCACTTACTAAATTTCTCTGTTTAGGCGTTTCATTATATACACAGATGGGATAGAAATTGCAATCTTCTCATTGGTGTGTTGTTGGGATAAAATGAAAAGGCTCCTGGCACACAGTAACTATTCTATGCATATCAGCTATCATCATTGCTGAATTTTAGCTTACTAACTGCAACATCTTAGCTTTCATTGTGCATCCTATGGGTCTACCTAGCCTCCTCTAATTATTCATTGGACATTCTTGTGGCTTAGTTTCATGCTCACAATTAGCACAGGCTTTCTGATACTGGATGTATCATCTTATTTTTCTTTCTTTCTTTCTTTCTTTTTTTTTTTTTGATGGAATCTCACTCTGTCGCTAGGCTAGAGTGCAGTGGCACAATCTCAGCTCACTGCAACCTCTGCCTCCAGGGTTCAAGCGATTCTCCTGCCTCAGCCTCCTGAGTAGATGGGAATAAGGCGTGTGCCACCATGCCCAGCTAATTTTTGTGTAGAGGCGGGGTTTCACCATGTTGGCCAGGATGGTCTCCATCTCTTTACCTTGTGATCTGCCCTCCTAGGCCTCCCAAAGTGCTGGGATTACAGGCGTGAGCCACCGTGTCCTGCCATCATCTTATTTTTCAAACTACACACATCTCTCAGTAACTTGTCTTTATGACAGACCCTTTCATTTGTGTTGGTATTCCTTCATTTTATAAGTCAGCTCATGTGCTCCAGTGGTCAAAGAACTTAGTGCAATTATGACAGACTCCTTGAATAGCTTGAATGGTAAATACATGAAGTAGTCTTCAGGGACCAGAAATCATGTTGATGTAGAGTCCCTCCTTCCACAGATGCCCTGCCTTCACATGACACAGATTCAGAATGGTTTAGAACTACAGGAAAAGTTTACTATTTTGGTACAGGAGGCTGCAAAGAAAAAGATTTCATTAGGAAGCATATTTACCTGGGAGATTTGAGCATGTGCTTTTGTTTCAGATTTTCTCATTTTGCAATCTGCATTGTTTGTGCTGACAAGTCCTTCTGAGAGAGGCTATAAGCAATTTCCAGCTGGAATAGAGAGGAGAAAACAAACAGCTTGCAAGCAAATACATGAAGAAATCTCAGCTGCTTCTTAAATGACATGTGCATACTTGTGACTATTTAAGTCCTAATGTCTCCACATGGAAGCCTTTCCTGCTCTAAATAAGAAATAGATTTTAAGAAATTAGCCTGGGTTTATGGATATCCTTGTTCTCTATTCTCTATTATGAAACCTCAAAGATGTATTGGGCCTGATTGGAGCACGAAGTCTCAAATCTTTTTATAGACTTGTGTACTTTCTATATACCACATATGCCAGTCAGTTTAGAGAAATAAAGGCCTTGAGAAACTTGACTTTGAGACTGGACTAGATGCAATAAGAGTAAAGTACCCAACTAGGAAGGAATAATGGGCTGGGTGTCACCAGGTACCCAGTAATGTGTGGCTTCTGTCTCAGAAGGATGAAAGGGGCTCCAAAGGGGATCGAAATAATGATCAAGATCTACTGAGTGCCTGCTATGTGGGGAGCACTGTAGTGAGTGGTGTAGCTCCTACATCCTCTTTCACTCTCACAATGATGCTGGGAGACAAATCCTAACATCATTATTATATCTGCACAAGCATATTGAATCATGGGGAAATTAAGCACCTTGTTCAAGGTCAAATTATCAGCATAGAAATGAAATTAAAAGCCAGGCCATCTATCTCCATGGTCTTATCCATAATTCCCACCCTCCACCTTCTCACAATTACCCCTATTGCAGCATTTTGAACAATTGCTGTGCATATAATGCAATCAGGCTCCCAGAATCAACAAGGATAAAACTTGAGGACACAATTTACCATATTACACCTATTTCCTAACAGGGTGATAGAAGCAGTAACAATATTTTATCACTTATCTTTCATCTTAAGTAACTTAGTTATTGGCATTCAGAGAAAAGACTGTGCCTGCAATTGTAACCAGTATGCATTATTGATCAAGGTAAAAGATTTGTAATCAGAAGTTCCTTAAGTTATACAAAGTGTTATACTTGAATCAAGATACAGCTTGTGTATAGAAGCTTTTTCAAATATAAAATCTCATCCAAAAATATATGAGAATTTTCCAAACAAATAAAACAGTATTATAAACAGTACCTTTTGCTTGATCCTGCCTTCTATTCCATATTCAGTGAAGATGCTAAAGACAGATTTACCTTTGAAAAACAGTTTATCAAGCATTATGGTTGAACAATTGGGAGATACTGTATAAAGGAGTAAGAGAATAATAGAGTATATACTTGGTAATGATTTTAAAAAATAAATTTTAAAAATAATTTTTGAATTTTAATTTTTAAAAATTTTTTAATAATTAAAATTTAAATAATTTAATAATTAAAATTTTTTAAATTTAAAATTTATCCTAAAAATAAATTTTAAACAATTAAAAAATAATTTGTGGTGTCTGTTAGGTACTAATGCACTATTAATTGCTTCGCAACTATTATCATATTTAATACTCTTAGTAACGTTGTAATATTATTGGAACATAGAGATCTTAGAAAAAGAAATAACTACATGAAAAACAAAGGTGCGGAAGTGTTCAGAGAAGTCTTTGAAAGAGAGATGTTCATAGGGCTGAGTTGTAAAAGGTAAGTAGAATTAAACAGAAAAAAATCAGGAAGCGTCTTCCAGGAAAAAAAAAATAACATACTCAAGGACGCTGGGAGGGGTGGGAGACTATAGGGCAATTTGGAGTCAGAAATTGTGGTCGTAGTTACCCACAGAGTGGGAGAAAATCTTCGCCAACTATGCATCTGACAAAAGACTAATATCCAGAATCTACAAGGAACTCAAACAAATCAGCAAGAAAAAAACTAACAATCCCATCAAAAAGTGGGCTAAGAAAGTAAATAGACAATTCTCAAAAACAGACATAGAAATGGCAAACATACATATGAAGAAAATTCTCAACATCACTAATTATCAGGGAAATGTAAATCAAAACTACAATGTAATACCACATTACTCCTGCAAGAATGGCCATAATAAAATAAATAAATAAATAAATAGTAGACGTTGGCGTGGATGTGATGAAAAGGGAACACTCACACTGCTGGTGGGAATATAAACTAGTACAAGTACTGTGGAAAACAGTGTGGAGATTCTTTAAAGAACGAAAAGTAGATCTACCATTTTATCTGGCAGTCCCACTACTGTGTGTCTACCCAGAGGAAAAGAGTTGTTATACGAAAAGATACTGGTACATGCATGTTTACAACAGCACAGTTCACAATTGTAAAAATACGGAACCAGCCCAAGTGCCCATCAATCAATAAGTGGCTAAGGAAAATGTGATAGATATATACATGCTCAGCCTGGCCAAGATGGTGAAACCCCATCTCTACTAAAAATACAAAAATCAGCTGGGCTTGGTGGCGGGCTCCTGTAATCTCAGCTACTTGGGAGGCTGAGGCAGAGAATTGCTTGAAACCAGGAGACAGATGTTGCGGTGAGTCGAGATCATGCCACTGCACTCCAGCCTGGGTGACACAGTGAGACTCCGTCTCAAAAAAAAAAAAAAAAAAAAGTGCTAAGTATTATGAACAAATGCAATGAAAGTCACGTGGTGGTCAAAATTGCTTTGAGGAGCAATGGGTATTTGAACTGCATATTTATGAATTATCTATATTTAAATAATCAGAATACCGGGTAGAGACCATAATTCTGGGCACAGGAAAAAATGATGTGTTTCATTTCTCTGTGCCTCAGAGAATAAAAATCTTGATGTGAACAGAAAATCTTCTTCAAGGTCCCTGCGATCAATCTAAGATACAAAGCTGTGTCTCTGGAAATCTTATAAGGATACCAGAGATTTTTAAATAATTAATGTAGAACTGATGTTATTATTATTAAACAGATGTACCTTGATGTTCATTAACTATTCATGGTATTTGTTTTGGAAATTCTAACCAAAAACTGATTGCAAGCTAATCTTCTGTCAAGGCCTGCCCAGCTTGTGTTAATAATAAGAAAAATGATAATAATAATAGTGACTCCTGAGTGAAATTGTCATATCTTAGAGTTTTGGCAAGGAAGCTTTTAAAACACTCTTATTTTTGACTGTGATTCTTGGCATTTTTAAGGTTTTACATCTGGAATTTTAGAATTTCTATCCCCTGTAAGACTCCAGTTTTGTTATTACTGTTAGTAAATCTGACATGGAGCACTCTATTAGAAAAAAAAAAACTTCGTTTGTGGAAAAAAATACTCATGTTTAAAGGTTCTGTTATTTTCAAAGGAGTTAAAAATATCACTGAATATGTTCAGTTTTTACTTTTTTATAGAGTGTATAACTTTGACAGCAAAATAAGTTTTAGTAGTTTCTGGAATATTTGTAGAAGATATCTCATAAACAACTATTCTAGTGCAAGATAATTCTGATCAATAACACTGAAATTTAACAAGTAAATTTTTATTTATCTCAAATATATTATTAAAAGTATGTCTAGTAATATTCTATTTATGAGAGAGTCTTGGCCACTCTATTTCCATACTTTCCATGCTATATTGGTAATTCCCATTTGCTGATCTAGAATTCCCAGCTTCAGAGCTCAAGCATACTGAGTTAGAGAAGATGTAGTATCAGTTTAACTGTATCAGGGAAATAAGATCTTTAGTGTTGTTCCTTCAGATCTGGTACTGATGGTGCCAATCACATCATTTGGGCTTAATTTTCATGACTGAGCTTCTTATGTCTCAGGCATCTTACCTACCAATGCAACTGCTTGAACTTAATCTCAAGTGTTTATGGTATAAATCTTGATTCCATGGAGTGACCTTGAGATGTCCTCTTCCTTGAGAGCCATTTGTATTTTCCATACTCCCCAAGTGTGAAAAAATTAGTCACCTGGGTAAAATCTCTATGATCACTAAAAAGTTTCCACCTATTTCTTATGGCTATTAATTTATTATCTAGCACTTCTCAATTCCCTGTGACAATGGTTTATGCCAAATTACTGCGCAATCCTTTTCTCTAGAGGAAGAACACACTTTGAAACTTGAGTTTGGGCTTAGCCGTGAATAGTGGTGTCAATGAACCACAAATCTCTGAAACTCTCCTCAACAAGTGGAAGTGAATACTTTTCCCCTGGAATCTCAGTTGGCCTTCGTGATTAGCTTGGAGCTAATAAATATAACATAAGACACATTGGGTAGCTTCTGAGATTAGGTTGGTAGATGTCATGCAGGTCCTATCTGGTTTCTTGACACACTTGTTTGAAGAGCCCTGAGTCACCATGTGAGAAACCCAACAACTCTGAGGTCAGAAAGGCCATGTTTAGATACCCTGTTCAGCATTTCTTGCTGAGTCTGTTTTATAGCCAGACCAACTCACCAGGCATATGAGTAAATATATCATCTTGGAAGATCTCCTATCCAACTATTCAAGTCTTTTGAGTCATCTCAGGTGAAGATCAGACATCATAGACTAGAGAAGAGATATCCATACTATGTCCTCCCTAAATGCTTAGACAACAGAATCTGAGAGGACAGTAAAGTAGTTGTTTTTTCTTTTTTTTTTTTTATGCCATTACATTTTTTTTTCACAGCTATGGATATCTGGAAAATCCTGTGATTACTTTGCCTGATGGGATACGGCAGGAACTGATTTTATGCCATGTATAAGCCTAGACCTCAAAACCTCAAGAAGTTTTACATATCTTATTTTTTTTCCCATGTGCTACTGACATTGGTAGAATAAGAACATGCTCTGGCTAGCCTGATGTTCCATTGAAGTCCTAAAACTTGGAAAAAATCTTCGTCCATCATGCAGTGGGGAGCTGGGCCCAGCCCACCCCACAGCTCACAGCACAGATGCCCAATCAAGTCCAGACTAGATTAGAAACCGCCACTTAACCTACAAACCCAGGAATGATTATAAATAATTGTTTTGTGATATCTATTTTGAGGATAGTTGACTACACAGCAAGAGCAGACCAAAACAAAAACAAAAACCAAAAGTATTGCTGCAACTAATTGCAATTGTTGGACTGCCTCTTACCACATAGTTGCATTGGCCAGTGACAAAGCCAGTGTTCCATGCCTCTTTCCATTTTATACTTTGACTTTTTGGAGATTTCTACCTCAGTGACCAACTTCAGGCCTCTCCTATCATCCTAGAAAGGCTTTCCCAGACTAAAATTGTGAAATAGAACCAATGTCTATGGAATATTGATTTGGGTCACCAGAATAATTAAAAGAAAAAGCATTTTTTCATACCTCCCACTGCGATCCTTCTAATCTCCTCCTTCATTCCTTAACTTTAAACCAGTTTCCCCCTCAATGATTTCTAGAGTTATCAAATGCTCTACTATATAATGCAACACTGAGTTTTCCTCAAAAGGCAAAGACTATCTTTCTCCAAATAAAGTATTTTTTTTTCACACTGGTAATTGTACAAATGTTTGTGTGGTTCTCTTTCTCTTTTTCTTTCTCCTTCTCTCTCTCTCTCATGCTGAGGGCATTTCAGAATTATTTCCTTTCCCATCTGTTTCCCAGCAAATGATATAGACTACAAAGTTCAGAGTTGTATAGATACAAGGGCTGATGGCATCAGTATTTCTTACTCACATATAGCCCCCCAAAGCTCAAAATCACATTTGCCACTAAATTCCAATTGCAAAAGCCAGATGGAGAACTGAAATGCAATAAAACAAGATGTGTATTTCCATTTCAAATGTTTAATGACTTGCCATTGGTAGATAAAAAATTAGGAACTTAAGGTTAGGTACAGCAGTCAGGAAAGGTGGGCACATCAGGACAGAATCTATAGAATAAAATTTTATAAATGTCTAGAGTGTCTGAAAGAAATATCATCAACATTATAAAATAGAAGTTCTGGGAAGGATCTTTGAGAATACCTATTGAATTTTATAGGTGAGGAAACAGAATCAAGGTTAAAATGCTGCATAATCCTATTGAATTCCATTAAGTGGCAGGGCTAGTATTTGATCTGAAACAGACATCCTGTGACTTTTTTCTAAATCACATTAATAAGTTTTGGAAAGAAAATGAGAATGCAGAAGAGACAGCAATGGTGGGAGGGAAGAGACTAATAAAGAATAATGTATAAACAGAAAGTTGTTAATCAAAGGAAAAAAGAAAACAAGTGAGAGTACCCCTCACCCCCACCAAACAAAGAAGAGTGGGAACCTGAAAACTGAACTTGGACTTTTCACCTGACCATCGGGTACCTCATTTTATTCTAGGCAAAAATTAGAATGATTAGTTTAATTTATAATGGATGGAGGGAGCTAAAAGACATATAATCTTCATGACACCCAAATACCAACATCGTGGGCATTACTTTTACTGTCCCACACAGCTCCAAGAAAAAGAAAATAACTTGGAAAGGGAGAGCCTGGCTGAAGAGGTCAGAATAGAATTGTTTTTGATATAAGTTTGCAGGTCAACAAAATAGGATTCAATAGTTTGTTTCATTATTTGCTGTTTTACCTTGAGCAAGTTATTTCATCATGCTGAGCCTCAATTTTTTTTCATCTTACAATTGAGGATTATTATGAGGATCACATGACGTACGTTTGTTAAAGCAACTGGCATGTCCTAAACACTTTTATAGATGCAAAGATGTTTAGATAGTTGTCAATGTTATACAGGAGTGGAAAACAAAGGGAGCAAACTTTGCTCAAAATTGGACAAAATCAGCCAACCAACCAAACAAATAAAACAACAAAATACTGTTAAAAACATTTGCAATAGTAGCACGAGCATTTCCTAAAATCCTACCTGTGGTGTTGAAGCTAGCAGTTATGGCAGTTCTATAAAGCCTTGATTGTTCTATAATTCTATAGTTGTTCTATAAATTCTAAAGCCTGTTATGCCACAACTATGAAACTTTGGGCACAATAGTTAATGGAGGCATTATGCTTGCCTGTATGATGCCAGGCTGCTGCAGTCTGAGCAAATAACACTTAAAGGAAAATGGGCTTCATGCAATGGGATTTGTGATAGAATGAAATTTTTGTTTATGCAAAATGCAACTATGTATAAGAAGGTCTCAGTCAATTGAGAGTATGGTCAACTGGGATTCCATTACTTGGCAATACATTATAACATTTGGATCTGTAATTTGTAAGGTTTGAAACTTTTCCTTAGTGTCCAGAAGAGAGTATGATACATAACCGGTTGTAAATAAATACTTTTTGTATTATTCTTCTGCTTATTTTACCACTTTATAATGTAATGCCTGCACAGGATAAATAACAGGATGGTATAGGGAAGAGAACAATAAGACAAGATGTGTGTATTCTGGTTTAGTCTCTCCTTCTAACTGGTTAGCTGCAGGAATCTAACTTTCAGTCTCTTCTAAGGCTGTTCCCTCAAGGGCATCTATATAGGGGCTGACATATTCTAGTTGCTAAGTGAGGCAATCCAAATATGATAATCTGATTGCTTTTTGTTGGTTTCAGTCTACTTACTTTTCAATACCAACTCTGTCACTTATTGACTGTGTGATCTTGAGAGAGTTATATCACCTCTCCCTAACTCTGTTTTCTCATCTATATCATGTGCCACAGTGGAGGCAGGTGACAATAATAACTGCCTCACATGACTGTTTTGAGGATTTAAAAAGTAACTTCTGCAACCAAATGGAAGAGCATCAGACACAAAGAGAAACTTTAAATATATGTTAGATGTTATTGGCCATATTCTAAGAAAAAATAGGAAGCCATGTAAGAGTTTCAGGTTGTAGTGGTGTCAGGGAGGTGAAACATGATTTTCAGTTTAAAAAAAAAAAAAAAGCTTCCTGGAGAGATGTGCATTGATTGTGCAATGTGTGGATAGACCATGAATATGATTATGAAACAGGGCAAATAACAGAGGGAACTGACTTCTGCTGGATCTACAGCTCATATCATTGCATAAGAGGGAGAACCAGTAATGGGACCCTACAGAGTATAATTTGTTGAACCAAACAATTTCATAAGAGTAAAAAATATAAAAGCCCACCACTACAAACAGTTCCCAAATTCAAAATTGTTATGTAAGAGGGCATTAGGTTGAGTCCTCTGTGTGAACTTGTTTTACATTAAATATGAACAGAAACGTTTTGTAGATTAAAGATCAGGCAAGAATATGGTAGTGAAGAGGGCAGAGCAAAAGGGTGGAACAGAAGCCCAAACCAATTATACCCTTCATGGGAATACCAAATTTTAACAATTATCTGTACACAGAAAAGCACCATCAGAAGAACCAAAAATCAGGTGAGCAATCACAGTACCCCATTTTAACATCATACCTTGGTAAAAGGCATTGAGGAGAGCAGGACAGACAGTCTTGATTTGCCAGTACCACCCCTCGCCATCTCCTGGCAGCTCAGTGCAGCGGGGAGAGTCTGTGCATTTAGGGGAGGGAGAGTGCAGTGATAGGGGAAGATTACATTGAACTCAGTGCTGCCCTGTCATAGCAGAAGGTAATGTGGTGCTGGGCTTAGCCAGTTTCCACACAGGGAAGGAGCATTTGGACCTAGCCAAAGAGGAATTGCCCATCCCAATGGTTGAAAGTCAAGTTTCTCCACAAGCCTTGCCACCATGGGCCAAAGTGCTCTGGGGTTCTAGGTAAATTTGAAAGGCAGTATAGGACACAAGGACTGCAGTTCCTAGGCAACTCCTACTGCTGGGCTGGGCTCAGAGCCAGAGGACTAGAGTGGCATGTGACCTAGGGAGACGATAGGTGGGCTGGCTAAAGGAGTGCTTGTACCATCTCACCACCAAGCCCAGGCAGTGCGGCTTGCAGTAATGAAAGTGTCTCCTTCCTTCTGCTTAAGGGATGGAGAGCAAAGCATAAAGAGGACTTTGCCTTGCATCTTGAATACCTGCTTAGCCAGAGTAGAATATGGCATCAGGCGGAGTTATAAAACCACCATTCCAGGACCCAGCTTCCAAATGGTATTTCCAGACACACCCTGGGCCAAAAGGGAAACTGCTACCTTGAAGGAGAGGACTCGGTCCTGGAAGGACTCATCACCTGCTAACCAAAGGGCCCTTGGACCCTGAATAACCAACAGCAAAGCTCAGGTAGTATGCCATGGGCCTTGGGTTCTAAAACGTGCTGAAATCAGATGTGACCCAGCACATTCCTAGTTGTGGTGGCTACAGTGAAGGACTTCTATTGAAAAAAAGCAAAGGGGAAATTAAGAGGGACTTTCTCTTGCTCCTTAGGTACCAGCTCATCCACAGTGCAGTAAAAAAACAAGCAGGCACTTAGGGTCCCCGAATCCAGGCCAAGGCTCTTGGACAGCATGTTCTGGACCTGCCCTGGGACAGAGTCTAGCCCACTGTCCTGAAGAGTGAGTCCCAGGCCAGGCAGCATTCACCACAGACTGATGGAAGAGTCCTTGGGCTTTAAGTGAATATTGGTGATGGACTGGAAGAATGCCCTTGTGAGCTGGTTGTGGTAGTGCCCACAGGGAGAGGCTCCCGTGACTATAGAAGGCGGGGGGAAGAGTGGGAAGGACTTTATATTGTGGTTAGAGTGCCAACATAGCTGAAATGAAATCAAACATCAGTTGAGTTTCTAAGATTATTGACTCAAATTTCTGGCTCCCAGATAGCATCTCTAGACTCCCCCAGGGCCCAGGGCAACTTGCTACACTGAAGGGAAGGATGCAAACCTAGCTGGCTTTATCACCTGCAGATTGCAGAGCCTTACAGGCTTGAGTGAACATAAGTGGTAGCCAGGTAGCAGTTACAGTGCAGTGGGCCTTGGGCAAAACCCAGTGCTGTTATGGCTTTTGTTCCAACCCAGCACAGTTCCTGTGGTCATGGAAACAAGAGTACTTGCAACACCACACCCCCAGTTCCAGGAGGTTCAGCACAAAGAGAGAGTCCCTTTGTTTGGGAAAAAGCAAGGGAAAATAACAAGAAATCTCTTCCTGGGGAACCAGATCCTATTCAAGACCACCAAGGCAGTGCATCTACGAGTCTGCAAAAACCCAAGTCCCTTTGAATACTTGGAAATCCTTGTCAAGAAGGAAGGGCACAAACAAAACCAGACTGTGAAGAGTGCAATTAATACCTAACTCTTCAATGCTAAGACAGCAAAGAACATACACAAGTATCGACACCCAGGAAAACATGACCTCACCGAATGAACTAAATAAGCCTCCAGGGACCAATGTTGAAGAAATAGACAACATGTGACCTGTCAGACAGAGCATTCAAAATAGCTGTTTTGAGGAAACAAAGAAAATCAAGATAACACAGAGAAAATTCAGAATTCTGTTATATAAATTTGATAAAGAGATTAAAAGATATATAAATTTAAAATTCAGAATTCTGTTATATAAATTTAATAGAGATAGAAGAATTAAGCAGAAATTCTTGAGTTGAAAAATGCAACTGACCTGCTGCATAACACATCAGAGTCATTTAATATCAGAACTGATCAAATAGAAGAAAGAACGAGTGAGCTTGAAGATAGGCTATTTGAAAATACACAGTGAAAGGAGACAAAAGAACAAAGAATAAAAAACAAGAAAGCACACCTACAAGATCTGGAAAATAGACTCAAAAGAGCAAATCTAAGAGTTATTGGCCTTAAAGAGGAGGCGGAGAAAGGTATAGGGGTAGAAAGTTTATTCAAAGGGATAATATCAGAGAACTTGCTAAACCCAGAGAAAAATATCAACATTGAAATACAAGAATGTTATAAAACACCAAGCAGATTTCATCTGAGGAAGACTACCTCAAGGCATTTAATAATCAAATTCCCAGAGGTCAAGGATAAAGAAAGGATCCTAAGAGCAGCAAGATAAATGAAAGAAGTAACATGCAATGGAGTTCCAATATTTCTGGCAGCAGACTTTTCAGTGGAAAAGGAGAGTGTGTCATGCCATATTAAAAGTGCTGAAGGAAAAAACTTTTATTCTAAAATGGTATATCCAGTGAAAATATCCTTCAAACATAAAGGAGAAATAAACACTTTCCTAGACAAATAAAAGCTGATGAATTTTATCAACACCAGGCCTCTCCTAGAAGAAATGCTGATGTGAATTCTTCAATTTGGATAAAAAGAATGTTAATGAGGAACAAGGATTCCTCTGAAGGTACAAAACTCACTGGTAATAGTAAGTAAACAGAAAAATACAGAATTTATATCACTTTAATCATTGGTTGTAAACTACTCAAGTAGAAAGATTAAAAATGAACCAATCAAAAATAGTAACTACACTGACTTTCCAAGACATAGTGTAATAAGGCATGAAGAGAAACAACAAAAGGTTAAAAAGTAGGAGAATATAGTTAAAGTGTAGAGTTTGTATTAATTTTCTTTTTATGTGTTTGTTTATGCAATCAGTGTTAAGTTGTCATCAGTTTAAAATAACAGGTTCTAAGATAGTATTTGCATGCCTCATGGTAACCTCAAATTGAAAAACATACAATGGATACACAGACACAAAAGAAAGAAATTAAATCATACAATCAGAGAAAATCACTTTTACTAAAAGGAAGACAGTAAAGAAGAAAAGAAGGAAGAGTAGACCACAAAACAACCAGAAAACAAAGTTTATGTGTGGCTATTATAAATGGGATTACTTTTCAAATTTCTTTTTCAGATTGTTCACAAAAACCATATCATCATTTCAAGTGATGGTAAAAAAGCATATGATAAAATTCAACATCTCTTCATGATAAAAAACCCTCAAAAAACTGGGTATTGGCTGAGCGTGTTGGCTCACGCCTGTAATCCCAGGACTTTGGGAGGCTGAGGTGAGTGGATCACAAGGTAAGGAGTTCGAGACCAGCTTGATCAACATAATGAAACCCCATCTCTACTAAAAATACAAAAATTAGCCAGGCATAGTGGCACGTGCCTCTAGTTCCAGCTACTTGGGAGGCTGAGGCAGAAGAATCGCATGAACCCAGGGGGCAGGTTGTGGTGAGCCGAGATCGTGCCACTGCACTCCAGTCCGGGCAACAGAGTGAGACTTCGTCTCAAAAAACAAAAAATAACAACAAAAAAACTGAGTATAGATGAAACATACCTCCACATAATAAAAGCTGTATACAACAGACCCACAGCTAGTATCATACTGAATGTGGAAAACTGAAAGCCTTTCCTCTAAGATCTGGAACACAACAAGTGTGTCCACTTTTACCACCGTTATTTCACGTAGTACTGGAAAACCTAGAGCAATCAGACAAGAGAAAAAAATATAGAGCCTCCAAGTTGGAAAGGAATAAGTCAAATTATTCTTATTTGCAGACGATATGATCTTATATTTGGAAAAACCTAAAGATTCCAGCAAAAAAAAATATTAGAACTGAGAAATTTAGTAACATTGCAGGATACAAGATCAACATATAAAAATCAGTCACATTTCTATATGCCAAGAGTGAAGAATTGGAAAAAGAAATTGAAAAGTAATCCCAATTACAATAGCAACAGATAAAATTAAATACCTAAGAATTAACCAAGAAAGTTGAGGAGCTCTACAAGTAAACCTATAAAACGCTGATGAAAGAAATTGCAAAGAACATAAAAAAATGAATATATGTTTCATGTTTATGGATTGGAAAAATCAATATTGTTAAAATTGTATATCCCAAAGTAATCTACAGATTCAATGCAATTTCTATCAAAATATGAATGATATTTTTCACATAAATAGAAAAATCAATTCTAAAATTTACGGAATCACAGAAGACCCAGAATATCCAAAGCTATCCTGAGCAAAAAGAGCAAAACTGGAGGAATTACATTACCTGGCTTCAAATTATACTAAGGAGCTGTAGGAACCAAAACAGCACAGCACTGGCATAAAAAGAGACACATAGACCAATGAACAGAATAGAGAACCCAGAAACAAATCCACACACCTACAGCAAACTCATTTCTGCAAAGATGCCAAGAACATACACTGGGGGAAAAAACAGTCTCTTCAACAAATGGTGCAGGGAAAATTAGATATCCACATGGAGAAGAATGAAACTAGACCCCTATCTTTCACCATATACAAAAATCAAATAAAAATGGATTAAAGAATTAAATCTAAGACCTCAAACTCTGAAACTACTACAAGAAAAAATTGGGGAAAGTCTCCAGGACATTGTTCTGGGCAAAAATTTCTTGAGTAATACCCCACAAACACAGGCAACCCAAGCAAAGATAGACAAATGGGATCATATCAAGTTAAAAATCTTCTGCACAGCAAAGAATACAATCAACAAAGTGAAGAGACAACCCACAGAGTGGGAGAAAGTATTTGCAAACTATCCATGGGCAAGATATTAATAACCAGAATATATAAGAAGCTCAAACAACTCCATAGGAAAAAAAATCTAATAATATGATCAACAAATAGGCAAAAGATTTGGATAGGCATTTCTCAAAGACATGCAAATAGCAAAGAGGTAAATTAAAAGGTACCCAACATTGCTGATCATCAAAGAAATGCAAATCAAAACTACCATAAGACATCATCTCACCCTAGTTAAAATGGCTTATATCCAAAAGAGAGGCAATAACAAATGCTGGTGAGGATGTGGAGAAAAGGGAACTCTCTTACACTGTTTGTGGGAATGTAAATTAGTACAACCTCTATGGAGAACAGTTTGGAGGTTCCTAAAAAAAACTTAAAATAGAGCTCCTATATGATCCAGCAATCTCAGTGTTGGGTGTATCTTCAAAATTAGAGAAATCAGGTATCTAAGAGATATTTGCACTTACATGTTTGTTGCAGCACTGCTCACAATAGCCAAGATTTGGAAGCAACCTAGGTGTTCATTAACAGATGAATGGATAAAGAAAATGTGGTACTTATACACAATGAAGTACTATTCAGCCATTAAAAAAAGAATGAGATTCTGTCATTTGCAACAACATGGATGGAACTGGAAGTCATTATGTTAAGTCAAATAAGCCAGGCACAGAAATTCAAACATTACATGTTCTCACTTATTTTGGGGATGTAAAAATCAAAACAATTGAACACATGGAGATAGAGATTAGAAGGATGGTTACCAGAGGCTAGGAATGGTATTAAGGGGTGGAAGTAGGGGTTGGAGGAGAGGTGATGATGGTCAATGGGTACAAAAAAAATAATTTGAATCAATGAAAAAGATCTAGTATTTTACAGCACAACAGGGGGACTATAGTCGATAAAAATTTAATTGTACATTTTAAAATAGCTAAAAAAGTATAATTGGATGGTTTGTAACACAAAAGATAAATGCTTGAGGGTATGGATATCCCATTTTACAAGATATGATTGTTACACATTGCATGCCTGTATGAAAATATCTCATTAACCCCATAAATATATACACCTACTATGTACCCACAGAAATAAAAAGTAACAAGAATACAGTAAATACGGATGGAAGGACTGTGTGCCTCCGAAGGTGGGAGGAGGATAGTCCTAAGGAAGTCTATAGCAGCACTATAGACTTTCTGCGGTTATATACGTTTTATACACCTATACTCTCCATTAAGGTAGTTATTAGTCTCATGTGACTATTGAACATTCAAAATGTCACTTGAAAAATGAGATAATAAAGCTTTACCAAGCAATTTCTGTGCTTAAAAAGTGTCAAGTCTCAATAATTGTGTTATGTAAGAATCAGTTCTGTCCTCTAAGCTTGAGAGGAAATTCCCTTTAAGCTTCTTTCTTCCTGAAACGTTCTGCTCTAGACATCTTCAGAGAAAAAAAAAAAAGTCTCCATTTTATTTAAGTCACTATTATTCTTGGCACCAAATGCTAATATATGCAGAATAATATTATGTTTTATTCCCAGCTGATTTGAGTTGAAGGTCCATTCCAAGCTACAATATGTTGGGGTCCAGTCTGCCTCTCCTCCTATAATTGATAGAATTTTCTTTCTTTCCTCCTGTAATAATACATAAATTTCATTGAATATTTACTGTATGTGATGCACTGTTCTAAGGTGCTTTTCACAAAATGTTTATGTAATCCTCAAAAGCAATGCTATGGAATAGCTATTGTAACTGTTCCTGGTTTACAAAAGAAAATCTTACTCACAGAATTTAAACAGCCAAGGTCAAAAACCTACTTAATGTTGAGATTGGTACGGACCACCTGGATTCGTGAGGCAATAGTGTATTCTCTTAACCGCTAATGCTAAATGATTAATATATGACTAGTATAGCATTACTTATGGGGGGACAATGAATTCTGCCAAAACGCAGGGAAGAATTTAGCCCTGCTGTGTAAAGACTGATCTTGTAGGCTTTTTGTCCTTTCAAACCAAGTTTTCAATAATTATACATCTAACAATTCATTTTTAATGTATTTACCCTTTTATTTTTTTATTTTTTTTATTTTTTTGATGGAGTCTCGTGCTGTCACCCAGGCTGGAGTGCAGTGGCGTGATCTCGGCTCACTGCAACCTCCGCCTCCTGGGTTCAAGTGATTCTCCTGCCTCAGCCTCCTGAGTAGGCTGGGACTACAGGTACGCATCACCGCGCCCGGCTAATTTTTGTGTTTTTAGTAGAGACGGGGTTTCACCATGTTGGCCAGGATGGTCTCCATATCCTGACCTTGTGATCCGACCACCTCGGCCTCCCAAAGTGCCGGGATTACGGGCGTGAGCCACAGCGCCTGGCCTTTACTCTTTTATTTATTATATTTGTACACTCATGAACATTTCAGTCCTCTTATCTGAAAAGTGCTGCTTAGATATCTACTACCTACCTACCTGGATTTTGTTGGCATTATCACCGTCATGATTGTAGCTAATACGTATTAAATACTTTCTCTATATCAGGTCCTAAATCAACAATTTAGAAACATTATCTCATTTAATATTGTTGTAGCATAAATTAATGGGCACTATTATTATCCCCAGTTTACAAATGAGGAAACTGAAGCTCAGAGTGGTTATGTACCTTTCTTAAGTTGTCACAGTTAGCAAGTAGCAGAGCCAGGAAATTAATCTAGGTCTGCCTTGTTATACTAATTCTATTGATGAACCACACACTTACACACCTCGTAATTTTGCCTGTGGACAAAGCTGATCATTCTATTCAGCTGTAGTTGTCAACCTGCAAATACACAATTTCCTATTTAGGGCATAATAAATATGCTGGTTATTAAGAACACATAACTTTCTCTCTCTACCTCAAAATGCATTTACTGTATTTTCCTCTAGGCAGGTAAGGAACATGCATTTAAATCTCCCTTTGACAAATGATTCATAGAGCAGCACTGATTCCTTGTTTTCCTTGTGCCTCTCGCATAAAATGCTGAATGAAGTCAAAGTGGTCAACGAGGGAGGTAGCAGCAGAATATGGACTGGTACTGTATAAAGAGAAAAAATGAGGGAGAGAAATCATCTTTGCCAGTGATGGAAATTACAAAGGCTAAATAAGAATTTAAACTCCCTTTTACCTCCCAGTGAACAAATGCACAACTTTTAACATTCTTCCTTTACATCTTAAATCTTAGAAGCTTGGTATCATTAAGTGACTCAGTGCAATAGTCCTTCAAGAGAAATTATACCCCATGTAAGAAACAGTGACAAATACCAGATATAGTACTCTCAGTCTAGTTAAACCACTGCCTTGGAAAGCAATAACATTGCCTGCTTTGATTCAAACGCTGAGTTTCTCTGCATCACGCACTGGTAGACTGTTTATCTTATTCAATGGCAGTTCAATATAAGACTGAGAGCTATAAAGAATTTATTCTATACTCCATCCCCAAATTCTGTTCTGGTCAAAATGTTAGAGCCTTGTTTTATTTAAGTTCAGGATTCTTTTTCTGTCTTATTGCTCACTCCTCTTGTCTAGTGATTGTTTCATTTTCTCTACACTCTGAGGAAGGGAAGAATTTCCCAGATGACATCCACTGGGTAGAAAGTCTTCTATACTAATTTCAAGATGGAAATGTCTTCATAAACATCCTCTAAATTTCTATAAAATTTTAATCCACCCATAGCAAGTCCATATTCTCTTCTGGCAGAAATTTTTTGCCTAACAACACACATTTTTCTTTATCTTTCTTCCTTTCTGGCAGAGACCAATCCCTACCATAGAGACTGAAAATGTTGGATCCTTGCTTTCCAAGCCTTTTTTGCTGCTAAGAGCCATGAGGGATCAAAATTCTGGGCAATAAGATATGCAAAAATGTCTTTTTTTTCACATATGAAAAAATTTCCCTCCCTGATAAAGAGATAGCTCCAAGAAGTATCCCACCTTCTTCCTTTGTGTCTTTGGGAATGATGGGTATAAATCTGTGACAACCATCTTGTCACAAGTTTACAAGATTGAAAATGGAAAACAAATATGCAAGCTATAACAGAACCAAAAGCAGAAAAAGTTGGAACAGTGATGGCATTATTGAGCCATTGAACCAATGCCGCAATAGCCTCTCTCCAGATTTCTTAATTTGTGAATAACCATCTTTGCTACTTTATTATCTAAGCCATGTTCATGCTTTTTCAGGTATTTTTTTTCTTCCAGCCAAAAGCATAGTAACTGATGTACCTATGTATCCCAACTGTTGCAACTATAGCAGGGAAAGGACAGAAACAGCTTTTATACCCATGAAGTTTCAGAAATATAATCCTTCTCAGAATATGGGGTTGTCAATAAATCTTAATCATCACCAGCTTTTGAACATGACCATCTTGGCTTTGACCTCCAAAAACTCAGCACATGGAGGAAAGGGAACAATAGTGATAAGCTCTTGGTCCTGAGTTTTTTGTTTATCAGTTTTATCATAAGAATTGCAAAGTTCCCCTTGGTTTTCCCCTTGGTTTCCAAAATTCAATCTTCTTCAGAAGAGTCTTTGGACATATTTAAAAATTTGCAAAATGGGCATTACTAAATTTATCCTAGATATAATTGTGCAACCACCAGAATTTCCCATCCTACTTACAATAAGGTTTTGACTTTCTGAAAGTATAAGAAGGATTAAATTTAGAGATGATAACGATAATGGAATTATAAATCAGCACACTTGAAAAAATAACATCAAATGGAATAAAAGCAGCAGCTCTACTTCCTAAATAAGATTTTATTTCTGGACTATTGGGAAAAGCCACAGATAAGACTGAAAGTGAATGGAATTTAAAGATAGGGAGACACTTCACAAGCAAAGACAGAATGACAGAAAGAGACCTCCAGGAATTGGCGCAAAGACAGGACCAAAGTGCAGGTCGTGGAGCTCCTCCTTCAGTAACCCAAAATGGATTCCTCAAACTGCTGAGTCCTAGGCTTCACCTCCAGGTCTAACACAAAAGAACTTCCAAGGTAAAGCTTGAAAATTTGCATTGTAATAAGTGCTTCCAGGTAAGTCTTCCTTAAACCCATTTAATTTTGTGAACCACTGCTCAAGACATGCTCTGTCATAGTGTAGCCACCAACCACATGGGGCTGTTTAAATTTAAATGTTAATTAATTAACTAAAAAAAATAAAAATGTAATTCCTTAGTTGCACTACTCTTATTTGAAGGGCTTTATCACCATATGTGGGTACCAGCTACCATATTGGACAGCACACAGAACATTTGGATCCTCGCAGAAAAGACTATTAGACCCAACAGTTCTGTTGTGTACATAAGCTTATGCCGTCCTTTCCTCCAAAATCAAATCCTCTGCTCTATGCTCCATCCCCTTTCCCTGTAAAATTACTCTAACCTATTTTGTACCTGTATTAGAGCACTGACACTGGCTATTTTATTTGAAAAAAAATTAAGACTATTATGTATCAATATTATGATTACTATGTATCAATATTGAACACAAAAGGCACTATATTCATTACTTTATATTCATTACACATTTTAATTTTCCTCCTTTTCTTTTTTTTTTTTTTTTTTGAGATGGAGTCTTACTCTGTCTCCCGGGCTAGAGTGCAGTGGTGCAATCTCTGCTCACTGCAACCTCCATCTCCTGGGTTCAAGCAATTCTCCCTGCCTCAGCCTCCCGAGTAGCTGGGATTACAGGCACCCACCACCACACCAGGCTAATTTTTTTTTTTTTGTATTTACAATTAACTCATGAAACACGTTTCAGTAGCTGCATTTTACTGATAATATAAGTGTGAGTTGGGACATTACTAATTTAAGAAACGAATATTAATTGTGTACCTCCTCTTGGTAGGTACTCTTCTAAAACTGGGTGGGAGGAGGAGAGTGCAGTATTATACATAAACACAAAAAAGAAAAATTGCTGCCACCATAGTTTTCACTATTGTGGGCAGAGACAGGCAAGAAAGAAGTAAATAAGTTGATTATTTGAAAAATGCATGTCAGATGGTGCTATTAAACAAAGTATTTCAGATTATATAAGGAGAAAATAAATACTGAAAGAGTAAGGTAAGACCAATCAGCCAGTAATTGGTAAAATTAATATTCATACTCAATTATATTTCAACCTATTACAAAAGTACTTTATTTGTAAACTAAAAACTTTCTGGATACATTAAAAAAAAATCTCTTATCCCAAGTCACCAACATCCCCTCTTTAACTTATTCGAAAAGAAAGGGTAGAGTCATTTCCGGAATAGAGGTAGAACAGGGCATGGCTGAGTACTAGGAATCACAGGGGAACATGTTTTCAGGAACTGAGGGAAAGAAGATAACATATAACTTAATTGAGAAGGAAATAATTTTCACAAAAATCTAGGTGGGATATGAGATAAAAGGAAATATATGTCTGCCTCAATTCTTTCCAACTTACTCTGCCAAAAGAGGGGTGAAATTTTATTTTTATCTATCTGTATTCACTGTGTGTACGTAGTGTATTCATCTTGGGAGCTCAGATATGTAGCTCTGTAGCACCATTTCTTCATCTTATTTTATTCTATTCTTTAACTATATAGGGTATTTGTAAATGCAAAGTCAAGTAAGCAAAAATAAAGTCATATTTTAAAAATTTCATTGTAAGTGGTTGAACTGTAACTCTAAGGTTTCTTCCCTCCAGGCTGGCAACTTTAATTTCAGTGAGTTTTGTGCATATGCACATACAAATGTACGTACATATACACATAACCTCTCAACAAATAGGCAAAGACGCCTTAGTCTTATTCAATACCTTAGTGTAAGGCAACACTCAAGTGCTTCACCTCCACACAAACACCACTTAAATTAGTCACTGTTCTGGAGTTGAAAACAGAAGCTGAGATGATTGAGAGACACACTTAAAACACAGAAATCTGCTGAGGCTTGGTGCCTAGAACCTAATTTCCTTAAGTACCTGTCTGGGCTATCTGCATGAAGGTCTTCCTGCTCTCCTGGGAACACCTCTATACATGAAGGTGTACATCCCCACTTCCAGCAGCAGCTTCCAGAGAATTGGCAATATCTGCCCTCTCCTTACTTCATTCTTTCTTACAGTTAAGGCTTAAAGGATTTACTTCCTTCACTCGCCATTCGAAATATCTGTCGAATTAGTTAGATTTCTTCAATTAGTTACATTTCTTCAAAGGCAGGAAGAAATATTGTCTTCATGGAGTTTTTGCCTCCCTTTTTATTTTTAAGGACATTTATGATTACAATGGGCCCATCCCGATAATCTAGGTTAATTCTTTATTTGAAGGTCAGCGGATTAGCAACATTAATTCCTTCTACACCCTTATTTCCCTTTGCCATGTAACATAACATGTTTGCAGGTTCTGAGGATTAGGGCATGGCTATCCCTGCGGACTATTATTCTGCCTACTGCAAGTTTTTATGTCAAAATAACAACTACAACGACAGAAAGAAAATAAACTATAAATTATCCTGACAGTCTATCTTTCAATTGAGAACTTTAAAATTTTGATTTGCAAGTAGCTATGTTACAACTGAGAAGCAGAGAGACAAGGATGTCATGCCATCACTACTCTATGAATAAAATGAGAAATATTAAGTAGCCAATATAAAATAGATATAAAGTGATTCAGAGAGAGTAGACTCTTCTAAGTAATTATCTGTGGGACTCAGATTTGTAGTTATATTTTAATTCTTTCTTTCTGGCACCTCCCTGTTTCAGTGCTTGGTTTGTTCCTGTCCGGAAGCTTAGTTCACTATCTCCAGTTTCAGCTATTATTACTCTCACACTAAAAAGAATATTGATGAGGGCACTGGGAGACTAGAGTTTCAATCCCAGCTCTTCTACTGGGTAACTCCAATTCCCCAGTTAATTTACTTTCTGCCTCTAAGATTTAGTTTCCTCATAGGTAAAAAAGCAATGAATTCGACTACATAGTAATGCAAACAATCATTTATTAAATAAGAACCATAGTGGCAGATTCTGGACTTGGAACATGGGAACAATATAATTTAATGCTCAATAGTTCTATAATTGTTATCTCTATCTTACAGATAAAGAAATTGAGGCTCAGAGATGGTTAAGTAGCATTTCTTAAAGTAACCCTGTTTACACATCGAAACATACCTCATATATTCTGACATAGTATAGAATACTCTCGTAATGCATAAAGTATAAAAACCTCTCATTTAATAATCTTAATGTCATTCAAATGGAAATGTGTGAATGTTTATAAAACATAAATTTGCACACAATATCCAACCTATGTCTCTGCAATAAATTCATGTAAATACCACCAATTCCAAATGATGTATTCAAAAGTGAGGGGAGCAGAAGGCTCAATTTCCCAAGCTGCTGAGTCTTTGCTGCAGGCAGATTCTAGCTCTGATTAAATTAATGTCTGCCCAAACATAGGAACAGAGCCAACCTGAGAATCAATGCCAGTTAAAGCTTTCAGCTCTTCGGGTGTAACTCTTACTTTTCATAGAATACAGTGGAATTCCTTCTATCACTATAAAATGTTAATAGGAGCATTTGGATTAAAAACTCCATATGATGTAGTAAAGTTTTCAGAAAATGAAGCTACAAGAATAAGAGAAAATCTAAAGAAAACTACATGTGCACATCTGTGTCATTGTTGTCTGTTAAAATGAAAGTACTAGAAGATCAACTGGGCATTATTGCCTCTTGCGAGTTTCTTTTCAAGCTTACAGAGTCTACCATACCTGCTATCACTACACCTGTTATAGACCATTCACTGTTCCTTAGATAACAATCAGAGCTAACAGTGACAGAGCATTCTAGGTACCAGACACCATATTAAGTAGGTTTATAAGCATTACTCATTTTTCATAAATATCTTATATAAGTGGGTAACCAAACTTTGCAACTGAAGTGACAGAGGGTTACAGGGATTAACTAATTTGCCCATGGTTGTACAGCTAACAAGATGTAGAGCAGCCACGTTCTTTTATTGAGGGCTCATGCTATATATAGGTTCAATTTAGTAGAGAAATATTGTCCCTCTGAATAAAAGCATTATTTTTTGTCTGTTTCTCTACCATTGTGTGTCCTTTGAAAAAAATAACACCATTGTTTCTTTTTTATTTTGAGATAGAGTCTCACTCTGTTGCCTAAGCTGGAGTGCAGTGGTGCAATCTGGGCTCACTACAACCTTCACCTCTGAGGTTCAAGTAATTCTCCTGCCTCAGTCTCCTGAGTAGCTGGGATTACAGTCACACACCACCATGCCTGGCTAATTTTTGTAATATTATTATTATTATTATTTTTAGTAGAGACAGGGTTTCTCCATGTTGGCAAGGCTGGTCTCAAACTCCTGACATCAAGTGATCCACTTGCCTCGGCCTCCCAAAGCACTGGAATTACAGGTGTGAGCCACCACACCCAGCCCAATAACACCATTCTTTACCTTTTCTTCCCACTTCATCTTCCACTGACCCACATAGAATCTTTCCCATAGAAAGATTCTATGAGAATCTATCTTAAAGTTAATAAATTATCTAATTGCTAACAAACTATCTTAAAGTTAATAAATTATTCTAGATGTAAGTGGAAATTCCATCCACATATTTATTTTTCCATGTTTGTCATCATTCTCATTAATCAAGGCCATCATCCTCACCCGACAAATTAATAACCATAAGAGTCCATATCATATGCTTAACATTTTATTGGCACATAATTGAAAATAACAAGGAGAGTAATTACTTTTGGATGACTAGCTTTTATTTTTTCTTAGCTATATGCATCAATTTTAAAAACTTGTTGGTTAACATTTATTTAGTATTTAATCCCATCTGTGTGCCTAAAGAAATTTAGTCACAGGAATGACTTCTGTCCTTCCATCTGCTTTTGAATTTATCAGATTTCTAAAACTCTTCTGAGGAGCTGTTGTATTTTTGCCAGCCTATACATGGGAAAAGATGAAACCCTGAGATGTAACACTTAGTTTAAGGATATGTTTGTACAATATTTTTTGTAAGCAGCTAAGATACTTTGAGGACTATTGAAAGGCTAATTTTCTACTCATGATTTTCTCAAATACAGATGGTATCTAAATAAAAAATATTTTGATACAGCAGTTAAGTCTCCTTGGGTGGGCAGTATTAGTCTTGAGAAATAAATATGTACGTATAAGGACCAAGGGATCAGTAGAAGGGTGACCCAAGTGATCCTTGACAGCTTTGGCAATAAAGTAGAAAGTCCTCAAACCTCACTGAACATTACAGTTGGGATTTTCTGTGAATTATTTTTCTTTTGGCCATTCTTGCCTGCATAGCCAACATGCTAATCAGCTACAGTTTTGAATTTTACTCCTTTGTCAGGTGACAACTGAGGACTATGGTTATGTGAAGAAGAAATATTAATATTAACTTTGATTCCTGGGCAAGATGGCTGCATAGGAACAGCTCCAGTCTACAGCTCCCAGCGAGACCAATGCAGAAGGTGGGTGATTTCTGCATTTTTAACTGAAGTATCCAGTTCATCTCACTGGGACTGGTTAGACAGTGGGTGCAGCCCATTGAGGGCGAGCTGAAGCAGGGTGGGGTGTCACCTCACCCAGGAAGCACAAAGGGTCAAGGAATTCCCTCCCCTAGCCAAGGGAAGGCATGAGGGACCGTGCTGTGAGGAATGGTGCACTCCATCCCATATACTACACTTTTCCCATGGTCTTTTCAACCCACAGACCAGGAGATTCCCTTGAGTGCCTAGACCACAAGGGCCCTGGGTTTCAAGCACAAAACTGGGTGGCCTTTTGGGCAGATTCTGAGCTAGCTGCAGGAGTTTTTTCATACCCCAGTGGCACTTGGAACACTAGCAAAATAGAACCATTTACTCCCCTGGAAAGGGGGCTGAAACCAGGGAGCCAAGTGGTCTTGCTTAGTGGATCCCACCCACATGGAGCCCAGCAAGCTAAGATCCACTGGCTTGAAATTCTCACTGCCAGCACAGCAGTCTGAAGTTGACCTGAGACACTTGAGCTTGGTGGGGGGAGGGGAGTCCACCATTACTGAGGCTTGAGTAGGCGGTTTTCCCCCTCACAGTGTAAACAGAGGTTGGGAAGTTTGAACTGGGCAGGGCCCAAACAGCTTGCCAAAGCCACTGTAGCCAGACTGTCTCTCTAGATTCCCCCTCTCTGGGCAGGTCATCTCTGAAAGAAAGGCAGCAGCCCCAGTCAGGGGATTATAGATAAAACTCCCATCTCCCTGGGACAGAGCACCTGGGGAGGGGTTGCTGTGGGCACAGCTTCAGTAGACTTAAATGTTCTGGCCTGCCAGCTCTGAAGAAAGCAGCAGATCTCCCAGAACAGCGCTCACTCGAGCTCTGCTAAGGGACTGACTGCCTCCTCAAGTAGGTCCCTGACCCCTGTGCCTCCTGACTGGGAGACACCTCCCAGTAGGGGTCAACAGACACCTCATACAGGAGAGTTCTGCCTTGCCTTTTGTGCCCGTCTGGGATGAAGCTTCCAGAGGGAGGAACAGGCAGCAATTTTTGCTGTTCTGCAGCCTCTGCTGGTGATACCCAGGCAAACAGGGTCTGGAATGGACCCCCAGCAAACTTCAGGAGACCTGCAGAAGTGCCTGACTGTTCTAAGGAAAACTAACAAACAGAAAGCAATAGCATCAACATCAAGAAAAAGGATGACCATGCAAAAACTCCATCTGAAGGAAAAACTCATCAACAGCAAAGACCAAAGGTAGATAAATCCATGAAAGTGAGGAAAAACCAGCATAAAAAGGCAGAAAATACCAAAAACCAGAAGGCCTCTTCTCCTCCAAAGGGTCACAACTCATCACCAGCAAGGGGAAAAACCGGACAGAGAATGAGTTTGACGAGTTGACAGAAGTAGGCTTCAGAGAGTGGGTAATCACAAACTCCTCCAAGCTAAAGGAGCATGTTCTAATCTAATGCAAGGAAGCTAAGAACCTTGATAAAAGGTTATAGGAACTGCTAACTAGAATAACCAGTTTGGAGAGAACATAAATGACCTGATGGAGCTGAAAAACAGAGCATGAGAACTTTGTGAAACATACACAAATATCAATTGCCAGCTCTATTAAGTGGAAAAAAGCATGTCAGAGATTGAAGATCAACTTAATAAAATAAAGCATGAAGACAAGAAAAGAGGGAAAAGAATGAAAAGGAATGAATAAAGCCTCCAAAAGATATGAGACTATGTGAAGAGACCAAACTTATGTCTGACTGGTGTTCCTGAAGGGGACAGGGAGAATGGAACCAAGTTGGAAAACACACTTCAGAATATTATCCAGGAGAACTACCCCAATCTAGCAAGACAGGTCAACATTCAAATTCAGGAAATACAGACAACACTACAAAGATACTCCTCGAGAAGAGCAACCCCAAGACACACAGTCATCAGATGCACCAAGGTTGAAATGAAGGAAAAAATGTTAAGGGCAGCCATAGAGAAAGGTCAGGTTACCCTCAAAGGGAAGCCCATCAGACTAACAGCAGATCTCTCGGCAGAAACCCTACAAGCCAGAAAAGAGTGGGGGCCAATATTCAACATTCTTAAAGAAAAGAGTTTTCAACCCAGAATTTCATATCCAGCCAAACTAAGCTTCATAAGTGAAGGAGAAATAAAATCCTTTACAGACAAGCAAATGCTGAGGGATTTTGTCACCACCAGGCCTGCCTTACAAGAGCTCCTGAAGGAAGCACTAAATATGGAAAGGAAAAGACTGTACCCATCACTGCAAAAACATACAAAAATGTAAAGACCATCGACACTATGAAGAAACTGCATCAACTAATGGGCAAAATAACCAGCTAGCATCGTAATCACAGGATCAAATTCACACATAACAATATTAACCTCAAATGTAAATGGGCAAAATGCCCCAATTAAAAGATACAGACTAGCAAATTAGATAGAGTCAAGATCCATCAGTGTGCTGTATTCAGGAGACCCACCTCACATGCAAAAACACATGTAGGCTCAAAATGAAGAGATGGAGGAAGGTTTATCAAGCAAATAAAAGAAAAAAAAAGCAGGGATTGCAATCCTAGTCTCTGATAAAATAGACTTTACCAACAAAGATCATGAAAATCAAAGAAGGGCATTAGATAATGGTAAAGGGATCAATGTAACAAGAAGAGCTAACCTAAATATATATGCACCCAATAATGGAGCACCCAGATTCATAAAGCAAGTTCTTAGAGACCTACAAAGAGACTTTGACTCTCACACAATAATAGTGGGAGACTTTAACACCCCTGTCAATATTAGACAGATCAATGAGACAGAAAATTAACAAGGATCTTAACAAGAACTTGAACTCAGCTCTGGACCAAGCAGACCTAACAGAACTCTCCACCCTAAATCGACAGAATATACATTCTTCTTTGCACTGCATAGCACTCATTCTAAAATTGGCTACATAATTGGAAATAAAACACTTCTCAGCAAATGCAAAAGAAAGAAAATCATAACAGTCTTTCAGACCACAGTGCAATCAAATTAGAATGCAAGATTAAGAAACTCACTCAAAACCGCACAACTACATGGAACCTGAACAACCTCCTCCTGAATGACTACTGGGTAAATAACAAAATTAACGCAGAAATAAATAAGTTCTTTGAAACCAATGAGAAAAAAGAGACAACATACCAAAATCTTTGGGACACAGCTAAAGCAGTGTTTAGAGGGAAATATATAGCACTAACTGCCCACAGACAAAGCAGGAAAGATCTAAAATTGGCACCCTAACATCACAATTAAAACAAATAGAGAACCAAGAGCAAACAAATCCAAAAGCTAGCAGAAGACAAGAAATAACTAAGATCAGAGCAGAACAAAAGGAGATAGAGACACAAAAAAACCTTCAAAAATCAATGAATCCAGGAACTGGCTTTTTGAAAAGATTAACAAAATAGATAGACTGCTAGACAGATTAATAAAGAAAAAAAGAGAGAAGAATCAAATGGACACAATAAAAAATGATAAAGAGAAGATCACCACTGATCCCAAATACAAACTACCATCAGAGAATACTGTAAACACCTCTACCCAAATAAACTAGAAAATCTAGAAGAAATGGATAAATTCCTGGACACATACACACTCCCAAGACTAATCAGGAAGAAGTCGAAACCCTTAATAGGCCAATAACAAGTTCTGATATTGAGGCAGTAATTAATAGCCTACCAACCAAAAAAAGTCCAAGACCAGATGGATTCACAGCCGAATTTTACCAGACATACAAACAAGAGCAGGCACCATTCCTTCTGAAACTATACCAAACAATAGAAAAAGAGGGACTCCTCCCTAACGCATTTTATGAGGCCAGCATCATCTTGATATCAAAACCTGGCAGAGACACAACAAAAAAAGAAAATTTCAGGCCAATATCCCTGATGAACTTCTAAAATCCTCAATAAAATACTGGCAAAGTGAATTGAGCAGCACATTAAAAAGCTTATCCACCACAATCAAATTGGCTTCATCCCTGGGATGCAAGGCTAGTTCAAAAAAATGCAAATCAATAAACGTAATCCATCCCATAAACAGAACCAACGACAAAAACCACATGATTATCTCAATAGATGCAGAAAAGGCCTTCAATAAAACTGAACATCGCTTCATGCTAAAAACACTCAATAAACTAGGTATTAACTGACCATATCTCAAAATAATAAAAACTATTTATGACAAACCCACAGCCAATATCATACTGAATGGGCAAAAGCTGGAAGCATTCCCTTTGAAAACCAGCACAAGACAAGGAATGCCCTCTCTTACCACTCCTATTCAACATAGTATTGAAATTTCTGACCAGGGCAATCAGGCAAGAGAAAGAAAGAAAGCACATTCAAACAGGAAGAGAGGAAGTCATATTATCTCTCTTTGCAGGTGACATGATTGTATATATAGAAAACTCCATTGTCTCAGCCCCAAAACTCCTGAAGCTGATAAGCAACGTTAGCAAAGTCTCAGAATAAAAAATCAATGTGCAAAAATCACAAGCATTCCTGTACACCAATAATAGACACACAGAGAGTCAAATCATGAGCAAACTCCCATTCACAATTGCTACAAAGAGAATAAAATACCTAGGAATCCAACTTACAAGGGACATGAAGGACCTCTTCAAGGAGACCTACAAACCACTGCTCAAGGAAATAAAAGAGGATACAAACAAATGGAAAACAATTCCATGCTCATGAATAGGAAGAATCAATATCGTGAAAATGGCCATATTACCCAAAGTAATTTATGGATTCAATGCTATTCCCATCAAGCTACCATTGACATTCTTCACAGAATTAGAAAAAACTACTTTAAATTTCATATGGAACCAAAAAGGAGCCCATATAGCCAAGAAAATCCTAAGCAAAAAGAACAAAGCTTGAGGCATCACACTACCTGACTTCAAACTATACTACAAGGCTACAGTAACCAAAACAGCATGGTATTGTACCAAAACAGATATATAGACCAATGGAAAAGAACAGAGGCCTCAGAAATAACACCACACATCTACAACCATCTGATCTTTGACAAACCTGAGAAAAACAAGCAATGGGGAAAGGATTCCCTATTCAATAAATGGTGCTGGGAAAACTGGCTAGCCATATGCAGAAAACTGAAACCGGATGCTTTCCTTACATCTTATACAGAAATTAACTCAAGATGGATTAAAGATTTAAATGTAAAACCTAAAACCATAAAAACCCTAGAAGAAAACCTAGGTAATACCATTCAGGACATAGTCATGGACAAAGACTTCATGACTAAAACACCAAAAGCAATGGCAACAAAAGCCAAAATTGACAAATGGGATCTAATTAAACTAAAGAGCTTCTGCACAGCAAAAGAAACTATCATCAGAGTGTACAGGCAACCTACAGAACGGGAGAGCATTTTTGTAATCTATCCATCTGACAAAGGTCTAATATCCAGAATCTACAAGGTAATTAAGGTAATTTACAAGAAAAAAAAACAACCCCATCAAAAAATGGGTGAAGGGTATGAGCAGACACTTTTCAAAAGAAGACATTTATGCAGCCAACAAACATGAAAAAAAGCTCATCATCACTGGTCATTAGAGAAATACAAATCAAAACCACAGTGAAATATCATCTCATGCCCGTTAGAATGGCAATTATTAAAAAGCCAGCAAACAATGGATGCTGGAGAGGATGTGGAGAAATAGGAAAGCTTTTACACTGTTGCTGGGAGTATAAATTAGTTCAATCATTGTGGAAGACAGTGTGGCAATTCCTCAAGGATCTAGAACTAGAAATACCATTTGACCCAGCAATCCCATTACTGGATATATACCTTAAGGATTATAAATCATTCTACTATAAAGACACATACACATGTATGTTTATTGCACACTATTCACAATAGCAAAGGCTAAGGGCCAACTCAAATGCCAATCAATGTTAGACTGAATAAAGGAAATGTGGCACATGTACACCATGGAATACTATGCAGCCATAAAAAAGAATGAGTTCATGTTCTTTGCAGGGACATAGATGAAGCTGGAAACCATCATTCTCAGCAAACTAACACAGGAACAGAGAACCAAACACCACATGTTCTCACTCACAAGTGGGAGTTGAACAATGAGAACATATGGGCACAGGGAGGGGAACATCACACACATCACACACTGTCATGGGGTTGGGGCTAAGGAAGGGATAACATTAGGAGAAATACCTAATGTAGATGACGGGTTGATGGGTGCAGCAAAACACCATGGAACATGTATACCTATGTAACAAACCTGCACATTCTGTACATATATCCCAGAACTTTAAGTATAATATATATATATAAATATTAATTTCATCTTTTTTATTGAAAATCAGATGCATGAATAAAAATTGTGAATTCCTAAGTCACAACATATTAATTTGATTATTGTTATCATTATTACTTGTTAGTACCCATTGTGTTAGGAATTTTACAAGAACTACTCATTTAGTTTTATAATTCCCTAAGGCAATTATCATGACTCTCTTCATTTGAATATTGAGGATATTGAATTGAGAGAGGTAAAATAGTGTATCTAAGTGCACACAGTTAATTTACACCTTTTCTGTCCACATTTTAAATTGTCTCTTTCCCCACTGATTGTACCTGTCACTGGTAATTTTGGTTAGGGAAGATGACTAGATGAGCTTAAATTCCAAATCTGCTGTTGTCTGTCAATTTGGGCAGTAGCTTACCCCACTCAGGACATCCATTTTCTATTTAAAATTGATGCGAATAACATTGGTCTTAAGATGTTTGTGAATTTAATGCTGGGCGTGGTGGCTCATGCCTGTAATCCCAGCACTTTGGGAGGCTGAGGTGGGTGGATCACGAGGTCAGGAGATCGAGACCATCCTGGCTAACACAGTGAAACCCTATCTCTACTAAAAATACGAAAAAAATAGCTGGGCATGTTGGCCTGCACCTGTAATACCAGGTACTCAAGAGGCTGAGGCAGGAGAATCGCTTGAACCCGGAGGTGGAGGTTAAGTGAGCCGAGAATACACCACTGCACTCCAGTCTGGGCGACATAGCGATACTCCGTCTCAAAAAAAAAATAAAAGATGTTTGTGAATTTAATATTATATATTATAATGTATGTAACAATAATCAATAATCAAAAAGTCCCAAGCATAGTAAATGGTAAATAAGTAATAGTTTATTATGATTTCTTTATTTAAATGTTCAGTAAAAATTCCTTCATTTGCTCATTCATCCATCTGTACAAATATCATATGTATATAGAAAAACCTAATCTACACTAAGCACTGAGCATATGCTGATATCTAAAACAGAAAATGTTACTGCCCTGGAGGAAACTTTGATTTCATTAGTAGATTAATATTACCCATAGCAAATTCTAAGAAAATAAACAGACTCAAAGGCAAGAATTAAAGAAATTAGCTTTTATAAGTAAAAAGAACAATGAGGAGGAATAATAACACAGGATTTTGTATTAATGGGTTTCAGGGATCCTTGCAGTACTATGAGCTTATACACTCAGATTTTGTTTCTATGATATTACATAATTTTGTTGCATGAGCCAGTTTAATTCAAAAACTCTCATACTGTTTATGTAGCATTGCACTGACCCAACCTGTTGCAGTTTAATCTTTGCATATATTTTCGTGACATGCTCCCCACAAAACAAAACAAAACAAAACAAAAACCAGTTTCTGCCACAGTCAACGTGCTTTGCACTACAAATACAAAATGTTCATTTTTTCCTTTCGTCTTCCAAATATTTTTCTGTTTTCTCTGCAATAATGTCAATGTCATAGGCATTTGTCCTTTCCAAATTAACCATCAGACATGTCTTTACCATGATTATCCTGGCTTTGCTTTTACATATCGACAACCAGATTCTACTTGACTGATTATAGATTGTTTACCCCCTACATGTTATTTAAAAGCACATATTTCAACATAGTGAATTTCCTAAACTACAGTTGATTTCAGTCAATTTTCTTTAGCTCATTTTTAATTCTCTTCATGCAGTCTTTAAAAAAATCCAACAAGATGTTTCGTGCGGTGCCATTTGACAATTTGAAAACTGATTATGCTGTGATCATAGCCATGTGCAACAACTCCACTTTCCTTCAAGTTTAGGATGGCAAAAAGAACAATATTAGTTGATGATTCTGGTGGGGTGGCAACTTGTATACTAAAAACACAAAAGACAAGAACGCAAAAGATCTAGATGCATCCTAATCATGTCATTTCTCAATTTAAAGCCAGTTAAAGCCCAACCTCCTGAGTAATATGTATGAGGCCATCACCACATGTACCATAATCTGAGCCTTCTTCTCTGGCTCCCAATTTTGACAACTATCTTCCAGCAATGTTGCAGATCTTTGTGTTTTCTCACCCTATTTCTTTTCATACTTGTTGTTATTTCTCTCTGGGCTTTTAAATGAAACTAACTCCTACTCGCCCTTCAAGGTTTAACTTAGACATTACTTCCTTCTTATGGCTTAGTTCATCTGTTTCTCAAACTTATGTAAGATAGAACTACTTCAGGAAATTCTCAAACCCTACTGAATGGTTGTTTTAAGGGTACTTGAGATTTGTTTCAATTAGGTATGGTAAGACATGCAGACATGAAAATGACTGTCATAAAATAAGTTTTTATACCTAAATATCCCTAGAAACAGGAGGCAAGACATGCCACACAAGATCACACAGGGAAGCACCAAAGTTAGTCAGGAGGCAGAGGAAATGAGAGGAAAACATGGACAAGAGCCTTTATTGTGGTTTTCATGGGAAGAAACAAGTGAGGCAGGACCAGCCAATTTAGGTTTGTAAGTATGAATAATATCTGCAGGCTCTGAGGTATAGAGGTTGTCTCTATTTGTCTGATACCTGGCCTTGGGATGATTAAAAAAGGAGAATAATGGCCCAAAGAATGATAGCTCCATAGAGGAGGTGGTTAGGGGTGTGGGCTTGGGATTGTTTGGTGTTCATTTGAAAGGTGTGCTCCCAGGGTAGTTGTTTCTTATCTCTAGGAATTAGCTATTCCAGGGAAGGGCAATTCCTCCAATGTCAGCAAGGACAGTAAGATGTCAAAGCATCAGAAAATGCAAGGGGAAAACAAGCACGATTAATACGATGACCTTCTTTAGGAAACATTGTTAACTTCTAAAGTGCCCAGGTGAAGTCCCAGTTCCAGTAATAGTGGTGAAATAGCTTGCATAAGAATAATCTTCCTGTATATAACAATTATAAACTGTTCACGAATTGGAGTCAAGAGTAGAGAAAAATTGGAAAGAATGTGACTCTGATAATAGGTATATCACTGGATAAGATCTGTGTTTCAAAAGTATTTTCCCTGGTATTTCTTCAGATTTGCATTATATGGGGCCACAAAAACTCAGGAAGGAATAGCAATAACAATAATTTTAGATTGAGGCGTCAAAGAAAGAATGTAGGTTATCAGAGTGTCTAGAAACTGAGGAGGTAACTAAAGAAGGTGGCGGCTTTAAGTCTGCATATAAACCTTCCACAAACCTTTGGCCAACTCTGAACTGTTCACACATATGTAGGCTCCAACAAGACTCTCAGAAAACAGAAGACTGAAAACAGACCAGAGGTCTCAACTGTTGTAACAGGAGAAAAATACACATTGAAGTTTTAATTTCACCTGGTTAAAAGTTTGATAAATACTTTCCATTGCAATTCCACATCTGTCATGCAGCGTATAGTTGGGTCACTGTATAAAAATAAACTCTATTAATCATTGTCTTCTAATTAGTGTATTTAGACCATTTGCATTGAAATTACTTATTGAGATGCAATAAATATACCTTTTTAAAAAAATGTTTATGTCCACTGTTCCCTATTCCTCTGTTTTTCTTTTCTTACCTTCTTGTGAATTATTCAAACACTTTGTGTAATTCAGTAAGATTCCATTTTGATTTACTTCAATGTTTTTTAAGAATATCACTTTGAATTATATTCTTAGTAACAACTGTATCTATTGAAATATACATATGTATCTTATCACAGTTTATTGGGATCAACATTTTACTACTTCAAATAAAGAGTGGAAACCTTGTTTATATTTAGGTCCTTTTACCATTCCCACTTTTATATATTATTATCTTGAATATCAAATGGTTTTATAATTTTGACTTTGACCATCATACATTATTTAGAAAACTATTGTTCTTACTCAGTGTATTAGTCTGTTTTCACACTGCTATAAAGAGCTACCTGAGGCTGGATTATTTATGAAGAAAAGAGGTTTAATTGACTCAAAGTTCCGCAGGCTTAATAGGAAGCATGACTGGGAGGGCTCAGGAAACTTACCATCATGGCAGAAGGCGAAGGAGAAGCAACTACCTTCTTCACAATGGTGTCAGGAGAGAGAGCGAGAGCAAGAGCAAGAGTGCGAGTGAAAGCGCACGCGTGTGAGAGAGAGACAGACAGACAGAAGGGGGGAGTGCCACACACTTTTAAACTATCAGATCTCATGGGAACCCACTCATTTTCATGAGAACAGCATGGGGGAAGTTCACCCCGTGATCCAACCACCTCCCACCAGGTTTCTCCTCCAATTTGACCTGAGAGTTTGGAAGGAATACCAATACAAACCATATCACTCACATGTCTCCTTCTGCCATTATTGATTCTTCCTTCCTGAGGCTCCAAGACACGCTCTTTTATTATTTGAAAAAAAATTATTTTATCCATTTTTTAAGGGTAGGTCTGCTAGCAACAAATACTTTTTTGTTTTCTGCATTTGAGAATTTATTTTTCCCTCATTATTTTTGATGACGGTTCTGCTGGTTATAGAATTAGTTGTTGCCAGTTCTTATTATTTATTTATTTATTTATTTATTTATTTTTATTATACTTTAAGTTTTAGGGTACATGTGCACATTGTGCAGGTTAGTTACATATGTATACATGTGCCATGCTGGTGCGCTGCACCCACTAACTCGTCATCTAGCATTAGGTATATCTCCCAATGCTATCCCTCCTCCCTCCCCCCACCCCACCACAGTCCCCAGAGTGTGATATTCCCCTTCCTGTGTCCATGTGATCTCATTGCTCAATTCCCACCTATGAGTGAGAATATGCGGTGTTTGGTTTTTTGTTCTTGCGATAGTTTACTGACAATGATGATTTCCAATTTCATCCATGTCCCTACAAAGGACATGAACTCATCATTTTTTATGGCTGCATAGTATTCCATGGTGTATATGTGCCACATTTTCTTAATCCAGTCTATCATTGTTGGACATTTGGGTTGGTTCCAAGTCTTTGCTATTGTGAATAATGCCACAATAAACATACGTGTGCATGTGTCTTTATAGCAGCATGATTTATAGCCCTTTGGGTATATACCCAGTAATGGGATGGCTGGGTCAAATGGTATTTCTAGTTCTAGATCCCTGAGGAGTCGCCACACTGACTTCCACAATGGTTGAACTAGTTTACAGTCCCACCAACAGTGTAAAAGTGTTCCTATTTCTCCACATCCTCTCCAGCACCTGTTGTTTCCTGACTTTTTAATGATTGCCATTCTAACTGGTGTGAGATGGTATCTCATTGTGGTTTTGATTTGCATTTCTCTGATGGCCAGTGATGATGAGCATTTTTTCATGTGTTTTTTGGCTGCATAAATGTCTTCTTTTGAGAAGTGTCTGTTCATGTCCTTCGCCCACTTTTTGATGGGGTTGTTTTTTTCTTGTAAATTTGTTTGAGTTCATTGTAGATTCTGGATATTAGCCCTTTGTCAGATGAGTAGGTTGTGAAAATTTTCTCCCATTTTGTAGGTTGCCTGTTCACTCTGATGGTAGTTTCTTTTGCTGTGCAGAAGCTCTTTAGTTTAATTAGATCCCATTTGTCAATTTTGGCTTTTGTTGCCATTGCTTTTGGTGTTTTGGACATGAAGTCCTTGCCCATGCCTATGTCCTGAATGGTAATGCCTAGGTTTTCTTCTAGGGTTTTTATGGTTTTAGGTCTAACGTTTAAGTCTTTAATCCATCTTGAATTGATTTTTGTATAAGGTGTAAGGAAGGGATCCAGTTTCAGCTTTCTACATATGGCTAGCCAGTTTTCCCAGCATCATTTATTAAATAGGGAATCCTTTCCCCATTGCTTGTTTTTCTCAGGTTTGTCAAAGATCAGATAGTTGTAGATATGCGCTGTTATTTCTGAGGGCTCTGTTCTGTTCCATTGATCTATATCTCTGTTTTGGTACCAGTATCATGCTGTTTTGGTTACTGTAGCCTTGTAGTATAGTTTGAAGTCAGGTAGCGTGATGCCTCCAGCTTTGTTCTTTTGGCTTAGGATTGACTTGGTGGTGCGGGCTCTTTTTTGGTTCCATATGAACTTTAAAGTAGTTTTTTCCAATTCTGTGAAGAAAGTCATTGGTAGCTTTATGGGGATGGCATTGAATCTGTAAATTACCTTGGGCAGTATGGCCATTTTCACGATATTGATTCTTCCTACCCATGAGCATGGAATGTTCTTCCATTTGTTTGTATCCTCTTTTATTTCCTTGAGCAGTGGTTTGTAGTTCTCCTTGAAGAGGTCCTTCACATCCCTTGTAAGTTGGATTCCTAGGTATTTTATTCTCTTTGTAGCAATTGTGAATGGGAGTTCACTCATGATTTGGCTCTCTGTTTGTCTGTTGTTGGTGTATAAGAATGCTTGTGATTTTTGTACATTGATTTTGTATCCTGAGACTTTGCTGAAGTTGCTTATCAGCTTAAGGAGATTTTGGGCTGAGACAATGGGGTTTTCTAGATATACAATCATATCGTCTGTAAACAGGGACAATTTGACTTCCTCTTTTCCTAATTGAATACCCTTTATTTTCTTCTCCTGCCTAATTGCCCTGGCCAGAACTTCCAACACTATGTTGAATAGGAGTGGTGAGAGAGGGCATCCCTGTCTTGTGCCAGTTTTCAAAGGGAATGCTTCCAGTTTTTGCCCATTCAGTATGATATTGGCTGTGGGTTTGTCATAGATAGCTCTTATTATTTTGAAATACGTCCCATCAATACCTAATTTATTGAGAGTTTTTAGCATGAAGGGTTGTTGAATTTTGTCAAAGGCCTTTTCTGCATCTATTGAGATAATCATGTGGTTTTTGTCTTTGGCTCTGTTTATATGCTGGATTACATTTATTGATTTTCATATATTGAACCAGCCTTGCATCCCAGGGATGAAGCCCACTTGATCATGGTGGATAAGCTTTTTGATGTGCTGCTGGATTCATTTTGCCAGTATTTTATTGAGGATTTTTGCATCAATGTTCATCAAGGATATTGGTCTAAAATTCTCTTTTTTGGTTGTGTCTCTGCCCGGCTTTGGTATCAGAATGATGCTAGCCTCATAAAATGAGTTAGGGAGGATTCCCTCTTTTTCTATTGATTGGAATAGTTTCAGAAGGAATCGTACCAGTTCCTCCTTGTACCTCTGGTAGAATTCGGCTGTGAATCCATCTGGTCCTGGACTCTTTTTGGTTGGTAAACTATTGATTATTGCCACAATTTCAGCTCCTGTTATTGGTCTATTCAGAGATTCAACTTCTTCCTGGTTTAGTCTTGGGAGAGTGTATGTGTCGAGGAATTTATCCATTTCTTCTAGATTTTCTAGTTTATTTCCGTACAGGTGTTTGTAGTATTCTCTGATGGTAGTTTGTATTTCTGTGGGATCGGTGGTGATATCCCCTTTATCATTTTTTATTGTGTCTATTTTTTTCTTTATTAGTCTTGCTAGCAGTCTATCAATTTTGTTGATCCTTTCAAAAAACCAGCTCCTGGATTCATTAATTTTTTGATGGGTTTTTTGTGTCTCTATTTCCTTCAGTTCTGCTCTGATTTTAGTTATTTCTTGCCTTCTGCTAGCTTTTGAATGTGTTTGCTCTTGCTTTTCTAGTTCTTTTAATTGTGATGTTAGGGTGTCAATTTTGGATCTTTCCTGCTTTCTCTTGTGGGCATTTAGTGCTATAAATTTCCCTCTACAGACTGCTTTGAATGCATCCCAGAGATTCTGGTATGTTGTGTCTTTGTTCTTGTTGGTTTCAAAGAACATCTTTATTTCTGCCTTCATTTCGTTATGTATCCAGTAGTCATTCAGGAGCAGGTTGTTCAGTTTCCATGTAGTTGAGTGGTTTTGAGTGAGATTCTTAATTCTGAGTTCTAGTTTGATTGCACTGTGGTCTGAAAGATAGTTTGTTATAATCTCTGTTCTTTTACATTTGCTGAGGAGAGCTTTACTTCCAAGTATGTGGTCAATTTTGGAATAGGTGTGGTGTGGTGCTGAAAAAAATGTATATTCTGTTGATTTGGGGTGGAGAGTTCTGTAGATGTCTATTAGGTCTGCTTGGTGCAGAGCTGAGTTCAATTCCTGGGTATCCTTGTTGACTTTCTGTCTCATTGATCTGTCTAATGTTGACAGTGGGGTGTTAAAGTCTCCCATTATTAATGTGTGGGAGTCTAAGTCTCTTTGTAGGTCACTCAGGACTTGCTTTATGAATCTGGGTGCTCCTGTATTGGGTGCATATATATTTAGGATAGTTAGCTCTTCTTCTTGAATTGATCCTTTTACCATTGTGTAATGGCCTTCTTTGTCTCTTTTGATCTTTGTTGGTTTAAAGTCTGTTTTATCAGAGACTAGGATTGCAACCCCTGCCTTTTTTTGTTTTCCATTGGCTTGGTGGATCTTCCTCCATCCTTTTATTTTGAGCCTATGTGTGTCACTGCACGTGAGATGGGTTTCCTGAATACAGCATACTGATGGGTCTTGACTCTTTATCCAATTTGCCAGACTGTGTCTTTTAATTGGAGCATTTAGTCCATTTACATTTAAAGTTAATATTGTTATGTGTGAATTTGATCCTGTCATTATGATGTTAGCTGGTTATTTTGCTCATTAGTTGATGCAGTTTCTTCCTAGTCTCAATGGTCTTTACATTTTGGCATGATTTTGCAGCGGCTGGTATCGGTTGTTCCTTTCCATGTTTAGCGCTTCCTTCAGGAGCTCTTTTAGGGCAGGCCTGGTCGTGACAAAATCTCTCAGCATTTGCTTGTCTGTAAAGTATTTTATTTCTCCTTCACTTATGAAGCTTAGTTTGGCTGGATATGAAATTCTGGGTTGAAAATTCTTTTCTTTAAGAATGTTGAATATTGGCCCCCACTCTCTTCTGGCTTGTAGGGTTTCTGCCAAGAGATCCGCTGTTAGTCTGATGGGCTTCCCTTTGAGGGTAACCCGACCTTTCTCTCTGGCTGCCCTTAACATTTTTTCCTTCATTTCAACTTTGGTGAATCTGACAATTATGTGTCTTGGAGTTGCTCTTCTCGAGGAGTATCTTTGTGGCGTTCTCTGTATTTCCTGAATTTGAACGTTGGCCTGCCTTGCTAGATTGGGGAAGTTCTCCTGGATAATATCCTGCAGAGTGTTTTCCAACTTGGTTCCATTCTCCCCATCACTTTCAGGTACACCAATCAGACGTAGATTTGGTCTTTTCACATAGTCCCATATTTCTTGGAGGCTTTGCTCATTTCTTTTTATTCTTTTGTCTCTAAACTTCCCTTCCCGCTTCATTTCATTCATTTCATCTTCCATCGCTGATACCCTTTCTTCCAGTTGATTGCATTGGCTCCTGAGGCTTCTGCATTCTTTACGTAGTTCTCGAGCCTTGGTTTTCAACTCCATCAGCTCCTTTAAGCACTTCTCTGTATTGGTTATTCTAGTTATACATTCTTCTAAATTTTTTTCAAAGTTTTCAACTTCTTTGCCTTTGGTTTGAATGTCCTCCCATAGCTCAGAGTAATTTGATCGTCTGAAGCCTTCTTCTCTCAGCTCGTCAAAGTCATTCTCCACCCAGCTTTGTTCCGTTGCTGGTGAGGAACTGCGTTCCTTTGGAGGAGGAGAGGCGCTCTGCGTTTTAGAGTTTCCCGTTTTTCTGTTCTGTTTTTTCCCCATCTTTGTGGTTTTATCTACTTTTGGTCTTTGATGATGGTGATGTACAGATGGGTTTTTGGTGTGGATGTCCTTTCTGTTTGTTAGTTTTCCTTCTAACAGACAGAACCCCCAGCTGCAGGTCTGTTGGAATACCCTGCCGTGTGAGATGTCAGTGTGCCCCTGCTGGGGGGTGCCTTCCAGTTAGGCTGCTCGGGGGTCGGGGGTCAGGGGTCAGGGACCCACTTGAGGAGGCAGTCTGCCCTTTCTCAGATCTCCAGCTGCGTGCTGGGAGAACCACTGCTCTCTTCAAAGCTGTCAGACAGGGACATTTAAGTCTGCAGAGGTTACTGCTGTCTTTTTGTTTGTCTGTGCCCTGCCCCCAGAGGTGGAGCCTACAGAGGCAGGCAGGCCTCCTTGAGCTGTGGTGGGCTCCACCCAGTTCGAGCTTCCCAGCTGCTTTGTTTACCTAATCAAGCCTGGGCAATGGCGGGCGCCCCTCCCCCAGCCTCGCTGCCGCCTTGCAGTTTGATCTCAGACTGCTGTGCTAGCAACCAGCGAGACTCCGTGGGCGTAGGACCCTCCACGCCAGGTGCCGGATATAATCTCGGGGATATAATCTCCCGTTTTTTAAGCCGGTCCGAAAAGCACAATATTCAGGTGGGAGTGACCCGATTTTCCAGGTGAGTCCGTCACCCCTTTCTTTGACTCGGAAAGGGAACTCCCTGACCCCTTGCGCTTCCCAAGTGAGGCAATGCCTCGCCCTGCTTCGGCTCACGCACGGTGCGCGCACCCACTGACCTGCGCCCACTGTCTGGCACTCCCTAGTGAGATGAACCTGGTACCTCAGATGGAAATGCAGAAATCACCCGTCTTCTGCGTTGCTCACCCTGGAAGCTGTAGACTGGAGCTGTTCCTATTCGGCCATCTTGGCTCCTCCCCCCGCCAGTTCTTTTCTTTCAGCATTTGAAAAATGCTCTACTACTTCTTTCTTACCTCTATCATGAAAAATGAGAAATTATTTAAATTGGTATTCCCCTATAGGATATATACCATTTTACTCTGGCTGTTTTCAAAAATTGTATTCTTTTTTTACTATTTTTCCCTTTTCACTATAATGAATCTTGCTGTAGATTCTTTTAGGTTTGTCTTATTGGGAGTTTGCTCAGCTTCTTATATTTATGGGTTTATACATTGAGTCAAATTTGTGAGCTTAATAGCTATTATTTCTTCATATGTCTTTACACCTTCACTGTCTGTCCTCTTCCTCTGAAATTCAAGTGATTCATCTAGGACCTTTAGTTATTATTCCACAGGTACCTGAGAACCTGTTCATTTTTCTCTCTTTCTAAAAATTTATGCATAATATTTCACAGATTTATGGAGTAAATGAGATATTTTGTTATAGGCATAGAATGTGTAATGATCAAGTCAAGGTATCTGTAGAATCTCACTTTGACTATCATTTCTTTGTATTGGGAATATTTCAAGTCCTTTCTTCTAGCTACTTTGAAATATCCAATACATTATTGCCAACTATAGTCACTCTACCTTCTATCAGACATTAGACTTACACCTTCTACCTAACTGTATGTTTATACTCATTGAGCAACCTCTTTTTATAGCCTCCTCCCAACCACATGCCCTTACCAGCCTTTGATATCTATTATTCTACTCTCTACCTTCATGAGATCAACTTTTTAAGCTCCTACATATAAAAGAGAACATGAGAGATATTTATTTTTCTATTCCTGGGTTATTTCATGTATCATAATGACCTCCACTTCCATCCATGTTGCTACAAATGACATTATTTTATTCTTTATTTATTGTCAAAAAGTATTCTATTGTTTATCTATACCACATTTTCTTTATCCATTTTTTCCACAGGTGGACATTTGTGTTGATTTCATATCTTTGCTATTGTGAATACTACTGCAATTAACATGCAAGTGCAAGTATCCTTTTAATATACTGATTTATTTTCCTGTGGATAAATACCCAGTAGTGGGATTGCTGAATTTTGTGGTAGTTCTATTTTTACTCTTTAAACAAATCTCCATACTGTTTTCCATAGTGGCTATGCTAATTTACATTCCCACTAGCAGTGTGTAAGAGTTCCCTAATCTCTGCATCCTTGCCAGTGTCTGTTAATTTTTGTCTTTCTAATAATAGCCATTTTAATTAGGGTAAGATTATATCTCATTATGGTTTTGATTTACATTTCCCTAATGATTAGTGATATTAAGAATTTTTTCATAGGTTTGTTGGCCAATTGTATGTCTTCTTTTGAGAAATGTCTGCACATGTTCTTGTTCACTTTTTTTTTTTTTCTCGGAGTTTCGCTGTTGTTACCCAAGCTAGAGTGCAATGGTGCAATCTTGGCTTGCTGCAACCTCCACCTCCCGGGTTCAAGCGATTCTCCTGCCTCAGCCTTCCAAGTAGCTGGAATTACAGGCATGCAACACCATACCTGGCTAATTTTTTGTATTTTTAGTAGAGACAGGGTTTCACCGTGTTGGACAGGCTGGTCTCGAACTCCTGACCTCAGGTGATCCCCCCACTTAGGCCTCCCAAAGTGCAGGGATTATAGGTGTGAGCCACCATGCCTGGCCTGCTCACTTTTGTAATGGGACTCTTTTTTTTTTTAACTGTTGAGAAGTGTGAGCACCTTGTATATCCAAGATATTAGTCCCTTGAAAGATGAATAGTTTGCAAATAGTCTCTCCCATTCAACAGGTTGACTCTTTACTCTGTTTATTGTTTTCTTTGCTGTATAGAAGCCTTTTAGTTTACTATAGTCCAATTTGTCTATTTTTTATTTTGTTGATCATGCTTTGGGGAACTTGGCCATAAAATCTTTGTCTAGTCCAATGTTCTGAAATGTTTTAACATTTTTCCTATTAGCAGTTTTATATTTTCAGTCTTATATTTAATCTTTTAATCCATGTTTAATTGATTTTTGTATAGAATGAGAGATAGAGGTCAAATTTTATTCTTCTGCATATAGATATCAAAATTTTCTAACATCATTTATTGAAAAGGGTGTTTTTTTCCCCAGTGTATATTATTGGAGCCTTTGTTGAAAATCGATTAGATGTAAATATGTGGATTTATTTTTAGAGTCTCTATTCTGTTTCAATGGCCAATATTTTTGTGATATATAACAATATCATGCTTATTTTGTTACTGTAGCCTTGTAATATATTTTTTTAAAAAGTGGGGTGATGTCTCTAGCTTTATTCTTTATGCTCAGGATTGCTTTTGTTATTCATGCTCTTTATTGGTTCCTCACAAATTTTAGAATCGTTTTTTCTATTACTGTGAAAAATGACATTGATATTTTGATAGGGACTGCATTGAAAATATTCTTTTCGGCAGTATGGTTATTTCAACAATATTGATTCTCTTGATCCATTAGTGTGGGATATCTTTGTATTTGTGTCCATTTCAATTTCTTTTATTAGTGAGGTATAGTTTTCCTTGTAGAGATCATTCATTTCCTTGGTTAACTATATCACTAGGTATTTTATACACTTTTGGTAGCTATTGTAAATGGAAATAATTTATTTCTTTCTTTCTCAGTTCATTATTGGTGTATAGAAATTCTACTGCTTTTGTATGCTGATTTTATATCCTGCAACTTTATTGAATTTATTTATTAGATCTAAGAGATTTTTGGTGAATTCTTTAGAAACCTTTCAGATATAAGATCATATCATTAGTAAAGAGAAACAATTTGACTTCTTCTTTTTCATTTTGGAGGCTCTTTATTTTTTTTATTTTGCCTAATCACTCTGGCTATGATGTCTAGTACTATATTGAATATGAGTGGTGCAAGTGGACATCCTTGTTTTGATCCAGTTCCTACATAAAAGGCTTCAGATTTTCCTCATTGAGTATGACATTAGCTGTGGTTTTGTCATATACAGCCTTTATGAGGTTGAGATATGTTTCTTCTATGCCTAGTTTGCTGAGAGTTTTTATAATAAAACAATATTACTTTTTCAAATGCTTTGTCTGCATTTATTGAGATTATCTTTATGGTTTTTGTCCTTCATTCTATTAATGTGATAATTTACATTTATTGATTTGTGTATGTTGAACCATCCTTGCATCCCTGGGATAAATTGGACTTGATCTTAATATAATTTTTTTGACATGTTATTGGATTTGGTTCTAATATTTTGTTGACAATTGTTGTATCTATGTTTATCAGAAACACTGGCATCTAGTTTTCTCTTTTTGTTGCGTCCTTGTCTGGTTTTGGCATATGAATTATGCTGGCCTGGTAGAATGACTTACAGATAATTTCCTCATCTTCATTTTTTTTTTTTTGGTAATACTTGAGAAGAAATGGTGATACTTCATTGAAAGTTAAATATATGATTTCAGTTAAGCTACCCAGTTCTGGACTTTTATTTCTTGCAATAATTTTTATTATTATTTCAATTCCATTACTCATTATTGATCTGTTTATTTTCTATTTTTTTCCTGATTCAATCTTTTTTGTGGCTATGTGTATTCTATAGTGTATATGTATCACATTTTCTTTATATTTTGCCTTTTAATAGTTTTGTGTTTGGTTTGTAATAGCCTAATTCCTTGAGATACATCATTGTATTACTGATTTGAAAGCCTTCTACATTTTTGTTGTTAATGTTTATTGTTATAAACTTTACTGCTTTTGCTATATCTCATAGATTTTTATATGGTGTGTTCCGATTTTCATTTGTTTCAAGATTCAAAAAAAATTTACCTTATGTCATTCAGGAACGTGTTGTTTAATTTCCTTGTATTATGTACAGTTTGCAAAGTTTCTCTTGTTTTTGATTTCTAGTTTTATTTCATTGTGATCTGTCAAGATTCTTGATATAATTTCAAGTTTTTAAGATTTGATGAGACTTGTTTTGTGCCCTAAAATATGGTCTATCCTGGAGGATATTCCATGTTGTTAAGAAGAATGTGTATTCTGTAGCTGTTGGGTAAAATGTTCTATAAATTTCTGTTTGGTCCATTTTCTTTAATGAGCAGTTTAAATCCAAAGTTTCTTTGTTAGTTATCTGTTTAGATAATATGGCTAATGCTGAGAGTAAGGTGTTGAGGTCCGCAACTATTATTGTATTGAAGTCTATATCTCTCTTTAGATCTAATAATATTTGTTTTATGTATCTTGGTACTCTGGTGCTGAGTTTATATATGTTTATAATTCTTATATTTTCTTACTAAATTGATCCCGTAATCATTATATAATGGCCTTCTTTCTATGGTTTTTGACCTAAAGTCTGTTTTATCTGATACGAATATAGTTGCTCCTCCTCTCTTTTGGTTTTCATTTGCATGGAATATCTTTTTCCACCTCTTTACTTTGTCTGTGTATTTTTTAACATGTGAGATAAATTTCTTTTAGGCAGCAAATAGGCCATGTTTATTTATACCTTCAGTTAATCTATCTGTTTTACATGGAAAATTTAATCTGCAAATATTCAAAGTTATTGATACTGGAGAGCTTATTCTTTCCATTTTATTAATTGATCTCTGGTTGTTTTGTATATTTTTTGTTCCTTTCTTTCTCTCTTATTGTTTATCATTGTGGTTTGGTGGTTTACTGTAGTGATAATATTTCAGTCTTTGTGTGTTTGCTCTACCAATGGTTTTTATATTTTCATGTGTTTTCATGAAGATAGATATTATTCCTTTTTTTTTCCAGCTATAGGACTCCCTTAAGGATTTCCTGTATAGCCAGTCTAGTGGTGATGAATTCCCTCAGTATTTGCCTGTCTGGGAAAGACTTTATATTTCCTTAATTTACAAGGGATACCTTTGCTGGGTATAGTATGTTTGTTTGACAGTTTTTTTTTTCTTTCATCACTTTGACTATATCATCTCATTATCTCCTGCTCTGTAAGGATTTTGCTGATAAATCCACTGTTAGTCTAATGGGGGTTCCCTTATTAATAACTAGATGCTTTCCTCTTGCTGTTTTCAGAATTCTCTCTTTGTCTTTGACTTTAGATAGTTTAACTATAATCTGCTGTGAAGGTTTTTCTACATTGCATCTATTTGGGGATTTCTGAACCATCTGTATCTGGATGTCTAAATCTGTTGTGGGAATTATGAAGTTTTCATCTATTATTTTGTTAAATGGGTTTTCTAATTCTTTTATTTTCATTTTGACTTCTGGAACACAAAATATTCAATATTTGGTGGCCTTCTGGTGTCCTGTATGTCAGGTAGGCTTTGCTCACTCTTTTTTGTTCTTTTTTCTTTATTTTAGTCTGACACGGTTATTTCAAAAGATCTGTCTTCAAGTTCTGAGGTTTTTTCTTCTGCTTGATTTAATTTAGTATTGAAACTTTCAAGTGTATTTTATATTTTATTCAAAATATTATTTAATTCCAGAATTTTTATTCTCTTTTTAATGATATCTCTCTCAGTAAATTTCTCATTCATATTCTAAATTATATTTATGATTTCTTTGTATTATTTAGCAGTATTATCCTGTATCTCACTGAACTTCTTTAATATTTCAAATTCTTTTTCCAGGACTTCATAAATTCCTTTTTTTCTTTTTTTAAATTAGAGACAGAGTCTTACTCTATTACTCAGGCTAGAGTGCAGTGGTGCCATCCTAGCTCACTGTAACCTTGAACTCCTAGACTCAAATTATCCTCCTGCCTCTGTCTCCATGTAGCTAGGGCTACAGGTACAAGCCATCAAACCTCACTAATTAAAAAAAAATTGTAAAGATATGGTCTCCTGATGTTGCCAAGACTCATCTCAAGCTACTGGCTTCAAGTAATCCTCTTGTCTTGATCTCTAAAAGTGCTGGGACTTCAGGCATTAGCCACCAAACCAAGCCTGTAAATTTCTTTTCGACTGAGATCTGTTGCTGAAAAATTATTATATACTTGGAAGTGTCACATTTCCTGGCTTTTCCATGTTTCCTGTGTCCTTACATCGATAACTGTGCATCTAGTGTAATGGTTACTTCTTGTATTTTTTTGAATTTGCTTCTGTAAGGGAAGATGTTTTCCTGAAGATGTATCTAGGATGTTGGTTGGGCAGAGTACTTATGTTTTAAATCTGAGGACATGCAGAAGTATAGTCTCTGTATGATTTCTTCAGCTATAAAAAGCATCAGTGATGTCTGTGATTTTCTCAGTAACTTAGGGTGCAGTTGTCAATGAAGGCTGTGATGAAGTTTTTCTAGGGTCTGGGATGCCAACTGAGCCAGTCTTCAAGTCCTAGTCATGGCTGCTGTGGGCTAAGAGGGCCTGTTTGGGGCCCTATGGCACTATACACTAGCATGAGACTAGGCAGGTGAATCCGTAGAACTCCAGGTGGATTTGCTTTCTTTTTTTTTTCTTTTTTGAGATGGAGTCTCACTCTGTCACCCAGGCTGGACTGCAATGGTGTGATCTCAGCTCACTGCAAACTCCGTCTCTCAGGTTCAAGCAATTCTCTTGCCTCACCCTCCCAAGTAGTTGGGATTACAGGCTTGTGCCATGACACCCAGCTAATTTTTGTATTTTTAGCAGAGACGAGGTTTCACTATATTGGCTAGGCTGCTCTTAAACTCCTGACCTCAAGTCATTCACCTACCTCGGCCTCCCAAAGTGCTGGGATTATAGGTGTGAGTCACTACGCCAGGCCCAGGTGGCTTTCTTGAGGGTTGAGAATGGCAGCAGTGGGTTGGGTGAGTGGGTAGGCTCTTGAGCCCCTGGGCAGTGGGTATGGAATGACTGATGGTAGTAGCAGTCGTCAGACAACCCTCTGGAACCCATTCGGTCTGCACTGGTGTTGGTGGTAACCGTTTCTTGACTTAGTCTACTTTATCTCTGTTGCTTCTATTGAGTAAAGCCTATTGATCAGTCCTCAAGTTTACTGATTCTATTTTTTGTTACTATTTACTATTGAGTCCATCCAGTGAGATTTGTTTCAAAATTCTGCTATCATATTTTTCAGTATAATTTTCATTTGGTACTTTTTTATAACTTTTATTTATTTGCTGAAATTTTTCTATTTTTTGTTTTTAAGAATATTTATAATTAGTTTTTTAATTATTTTTATAATAGTTGCTTTAAAATCTTTGTCAAGTGATTCTAATATCTGATTCATCTCAGTGTTGGTATCAGTTGATTTTCCTTTATTTCCAAGTTGTAATTTTTCTGCTTCTTGGTATTATGAGTGATTTTTAAGTGTTCCCTGGATATTTGGGGTGTGTGTGTGTGTGTGTGTGTGTGTAGGATATATTAAGATATTTGGGTCATATAAATGTTTATTTTATTGGGCAATTATCTTCTGTTGGTTGACCATGCAAGTCTTGGCTTACATTTCTGGGCTTTGTTTCCAATGATAAACTAATTTTCAGAGCCTCTGTGGTGATATTTTTGTCTGATCGGTTTATCACATGTTGCCTGGCTTGCTTGGTATTTTGTAAGACTACTCTTCCATTCCAGAGAGAAATCATGTCAAAATTTGTTGCCATGTTCGTGGTGTATGTCACTTTCTTTTGAGTATAAGGTCATAACATGCCCTACCTCTCTATTGTTCTTCCAGATCCCATAATTGCACTCTTTGGTATTTATCTAAAATAGTTGAAAACTTATGTCCCCACTCAAATCTGCATATGGATATTTATAACAGCTTTCTAGTAAGTTTGCCTTTGTCTTCCAGTTTTCACAGTTCTACTTTGGTTGTATTATTTCTGGGATTTATAGTTGTATTTAACAGGAAGAGGGAGAGAGAAAAGTTCATGCCTTACTGTCCAGATTGAACACTGCCAATTAATTTTACATAAAAGCATGAGTGTAATTCAATGGGGAGTAAAATATTCTTCCAAAAATTGGTTCTGAAATAACTGGAAAAAGTATGAAGAATAACTTTGATAGAAAACTGCTATTTAAAGCATACAAAAAGACCATTGAAAGTCAACAATAAGAAAATAGATAACTTAATTAAAAGTGAAGAAAAACACCAGAATGGAAACCTAACCAAAGAGGATACATAGATATCCAATAAGCATGTGAAAAGATGCTCAAAGTGTGTCACGAGGAAAATGCAAATTATAACAACAATTAAATATTACTACATACCTATTAGAATGACCAAAATCCAAAACACTAACAACACTAAATGCTAGCGAGAATGTGGAGCAACAGGAGCTCTCATTAATAGTTGAGAGAAATGCAAAATGATACAGCTACTTTGGAAAATAGTTTGATGATTTCTTATAAAGGTAAACATATTCTTACCCTATGATCCCGTAATTGCACTCTTTGGTATTTTCCTAAAACAGTTGAAAACTTATGTCCCCACTCAAACCTGCATATGGATATTTATAACAGCTTTATTAACAATTACCAAACTTGAAGTAACTAGATAATCTCTGGTACACTGAGATAATGCAATATTATATGGCACTAAAAATAAATGAACTATTATGTCATTAAAAGACATGAAGGAAAGTTAAATGCATATTACCAAGTAAAAGAAGGCAATCTGAAAAGGCTACATCCTGTATGATTCCATCTATATAATGTTCTGTAAAATGAAAAACTATGAAGATAGTGAAAGAACCAGTGCTTACCAGGAGTTAGAGAGTTGAGCAGGGTGAATCAGTAGAACAGAGAGGATTTTAAGGGTGGTGAAACTCTGTATGATGTTATATTGGTGGATATATCATTATACACTGATCCCAACTCACAGAATATGGAACACCAAGAATACATTCTAATGGTAAACTATGGACTTTGAGTGATAATGATGTGCCAATATAGGTTCATTTATTGTAACAAATATACTACTCTGGTATGGGATGTTGATGGGAGAAGGGTGTGTGTTTGTGAGGAATGGAAAGTAGGTGTATGGATTTTCGTACTTTTTACTTGATTTTTGCTGGGAACCTAAAACTTCTCTACAAAATAAAGTTCATTAAGAAAATACCTCAAACATATTCTGTAGAAGTTATTTTAAAATCTGAACAACATTTAGATAAAGCATTGGCACACATTAAAATATGTGAGACATAAAAAACTTAACTTTGACTCCTATATCACACTGTACACAAAGATTAATTCCAAAAAGATTACTGACATAAATGCATCACTTAAAACATTAAGGTTTATGTAAGAAAGCATAAGAGGAAATATTTTATCACCTTGGGGTAGACAAAGATTCCTTCAACTAGTTTTAAAAACCACTACATTTTTTCAAAAGATGGATTTGAATTTATTCACATACACACACACACCCTTTTACTCACGCCGAAACACTGTTAGTTAAATAAAACAGCAGGACAGGGACTGAGATAAAACACTGGAACATATATATCTAACAAAATATTTGTATTTAGGACAGAAGAAGAAATAAAAATCAGCAACACATAACTCAATAACTCAAAAGTAGGGGACTTGAACAGACACATTACAAAAGAAGTTATACAAATAACTAACAAGCACATAAAATGGTATCTAACATTATTATGTGTATGAAAATGCATATTAAAACCCCAATTACACATTGTTTTGAATCCACTAGAACAGTTACAAAAACAAAATCAGAAAGACTGATGATATGCAATATTGGCTAGCATATGGAACAGTGAAACTATCAACATATTTGGTATATGTGTAAAACTATACAGTCACTTTGGAAAGCTGAAGATATTATCATATAAAATTAGACATACCTATATCCTATGACCCCATAATTCTATTCCTAGGTATTTATTGGAGAAAAAGAAAAGTTTGTGTCTGGAAAATAAAAACTGGAAATGAACCAACTGTCTATCAAAAGGAAACTGGATTAAGAAAATGTGGAATATACTCTGCAATAAAGAATGAATTACTAAAACACTCAGAAACATGGATAAATCTCAAAAAACATCATGTTAAGTGAAAGGAACCAGAAACCAAAGTGCATATAAGAAGTATGAGAGCAGGCAAAATAATTTATTATGATAAAAATCAGAACAGTAGTTACCTCATAAAATGAAACATGCAATACACAACTGTTATGTCATGGGACTGGTAGATCCAGGCATTCTTTCTATAGTTTTAACTTTTAACTATAAGAAACTACATGTTGCCCTCTTCATAATCCTTCTATTAAAAAACCTTTGTGTCCATCATCTGTGCCTTGCTGTTAAAGCCACAGACTTGGGAAGCTGATGGGGCTTACCTGAAAGGTAACAAGAAGGAGCTTTTTGGAGTAATAGAAATGTTGTAGAAGTTCACTGATGTTATATAATACCAACACTATGTGAGTTATTGTCTCTTTTCTTGGATGGTTACTTAAAATGAGTTTCAGCTAAGAAAAACTTTAAGAAGGTTTATAGACATAAACTATTTTGTTTGAAAAATAAAGCCTGAATCAAGAAAAATAAAATGTAATTTGTTAAAGTAATTTTTAAATTTGTAAAATAAAGATTTGACAAAGTAAAGAGGCAAAGCTATGTGTCAAGATGTTTCATTGAAATGGTCAGTTTAGCAATCCGAATCTCAATAGATCAGTGGTTCTCAAACTGTAATTTGACTAATAAAATGTGGAAAGTTTGATTATGTGTTGATTGAGAAATCTAAGCTCCATAGAAGTTAGTTCAGTAGGAGAGAGTTGGAGGCCAGAAATAGTGGTACAACAATCATCCCACACTAATCACTAGTATAATGATCATCTCAAGAAAAAAGGATTTGTCTACTTCATTCTTACTCATTCCCATTAAGTCTGGCAGGTCATGGATGCTCAATCAGTATCTGAAGAATAAATAAATGAATGAATGACTATTCATCACCATCTTTGTGGCATTTATTTTTACTTTCCAATTTGGCTGTGGCTTTATCACTTACTCTTTGGCTAACTACTTTGGTAGTTTAGCACGTCTATCACTCCCCAGTCTGTCTTTTGGAGATGCCCTAATGGATTTTCCTGGAGTCAAGAACCTTATCCTAGATGTTAGAGTAAGTTAAGAAGTAAAACTATGTGTATGATGCTGAACATGACAGTTCAGATAGTGACACAGCTGCATTTAATTTTACCTGCTGGAATGGCTATGCCTATATAATTGTTGAAAAAGAGGGTCCTTTGTTTTGCTTGTCATTCATGGAACTTCAGCGAGCTGCTTTGAATGATTTTATCTCAGAATTTATTAACTATTTTGTCATAATGTGGACTAATGGACACATATCCTCTAATTTCTCTTCTTCCTGTTCATCAGACAGCCAAATTTTTCCTTTCACATCTTTGTCCGCAACATTAATGTTCAAAATCTAGACTGTTAGGAATCAAAATAACAAAACAATACAGACTCTTACATGAAAATTAAGAAGAGTTAGATCAACTTCTAATAACAAAAACAGTATAGAAGCATCATCATCAGCATTTCCTCATTGTACTCACTAAATGGTATTAAGAATCTTCAAGTGTGTTCAATTCTATGAGTGTGTCTGAATTTTGACTTTAAGCAGAACAATGCATGACTTGCTTCTCACCACATATCTTGATGTGTAGTATGTGCTGCTTTGGCATCTTGCCCACTGGTTCTCTCTGGCAAGGCAAAATTCCTGTCTTTTTAAGGTTCCTTATAAATGATTTCATCCTTATCGTAACAATTGCTACATCCAGATGCTTAGCTGTTGTAGACAGTTTTCTCGCTAAAGCATCTGGGCCAGCAATGATCAGGCAGTTGTGTCTGAGGCAGTTATGCGGTTAAATGGATAATGGACTGTCTGGGCTGCCTGGGTCTTTTGAATGTCAATTTCTTCCGACTCAAATTTTCAAGTAATTTATGCATCTTCTGCTATTGTCAATAGCATTTCTGCTGCAATACCCTCACGTGGCTCTATTCTATTTAACGTGATGGAGGAACACTTTATATTCTGATTTGCTTCAGTAAAAGAGTCTGAATTTAAAGGGTGTGTCGGCAATTTATTTATTAAAATATCAATAAAATATATACTTCTGTTTTTATTTTTTCTCTTTCCTTTTCCGCATCACAGATATTTGCTATAATTACGATATCTAACACGTGGTTTTATGAACTGGCAAGGACTTCAGCTGTTAGTTAAATTGTTTTAATATGCCATGAAGACACCCTATTTTGGAAACATTAAACTAATTCAAAAAAGTATCTTTAAGGGAAATAAAAACTCAAGCAGTTAATAGCCCACATGCATTCCTCAGTCAGAGGTGCGTTTTGTTTCAGTGGTGGCCACAAATGCAGACAGAGATCACTCTGATTTATTGTGAGTAAGACAGAAATTTCTGATTACTATCCTGTCTCTGCATGAAACCAATCTCTTTAGAAAGACCATTTGAATCTGGGAAATAGAGGGCAAATGTAAATACCAGTGGAGGTTAAAACTGTTGCTATGAGTATGGAGTCATAAATTATGCAGCCTGAAAATTCATTATGTTGTTTTTGTCACCAATCTCCTGAGCTGTATTACAAAAATTTAGAAAAAACAAAAGGAAATGAGATTTAAAACAGTGAAAATTCCCTGAAAGAAAATTGGGTTTATTGTAGCTTTTCCTGAGATTGCCTCATTGTAAAATACACTTCTTGCACAATACCTTATAGATGGCTATGGCCGAAAAACACTTTTTCTGTTTTTATTTTTTTTAGCTTATAATTGTTTGACTTTCAAATAACTTTTTACTTTCCCCAGTTACCAGAAGTTATCATAATACTTTAAGGAAAACAACCCATTGTAGGAAGAGCAAACACTATCATTTTATTTTTTTCAAACTTACAAAGATTTGGATTCCACTGGATATATGCTTAAGCTCTTCAACTGATATGGTTACTGAAGGTGTGTTTTAAAATATTCTAGTTCATATTTAAGCACATTTGAAGTCGGGACACTCATGCATTGATTTATTTATTCACTCGTTAATTTAGAGAATTTCATTTGAATGGCCCTGATGATAAGTTTAGTGGTAGTCACATGACCTGCAGTAGGTTATATTAGCTCTCAGAATTTCTGTTTGTCATCTGAAAACTGGGAATGATGTTTCCTGGGCTTTTAAACTCATAAGGTTTTGTGACAATCAATTCTGGTACGAGTTTTGACTTGCTTTTGAGCTGTAAAGACTCTGTCAAAGAGAGGTTGGTGATGATGATAAGAAATGAGAGGAGGATTAAACTGTATAAGATGATGAAAATTTACCAGATTTGGTTTGTCTTCCATTTTCTAGATGTGAATATTCTTTTAGCCTCTTAGGTTTTAGTTAGTACGTTAGAAATTTGTTAGGCTTAAAGAACTCAAGTTGTAAATGAAAAAGAGTTTTTAATTGGTGCTATAGCCCAGCTTTATCTTCCTATCTTATTGTATAGAACCAGGAACATCCCCTATACATGAAAATCCCTATTACAGTTTTGGTAATACCAATAGGAAGCACAGAGGTGACCCTAGATTTCAGTGTCTGTATTTAAAATGAGAATAATAGGTTGAATTTTCCTTGGGTATTATCCAGACAAAACATTCTATGATTCTTTTCTTTTAATCAAGTTGAAAAATATCCAATGAGGGGTGGCTTCCTGGCTCAGAAGATAAAAATCTCATGTGAATAGGACACTTAGGACAAGTCAAATAGACATCTGCCTCAAGAGGGAGATTAAATTAAATAGTACATCAGAGTTTGTGTGAAACTCACTTGCTCAACCATACTCTAGACTGCTGCTTCTAAAACTTCATGTACATACAGTCCATCTAGATATCCTATTTAATACTTGCATTTCCTTTTGATTCCTTCTAGAATTTCCAGGCCTTTGCTTATATTACTTTTGTGTTCTTTCATGTTGTGTACTTTTTCTATTAGTTTTTAACATATTAATCATAGTTATTTTTACATTCCGTATCTGATAATTACAAAATCTGCATCATATCTTATCTCGTTCTAATGCTTGTTTTGTGTCCTGAGAATGTGGTTATTTTTTGCCTGTTGCCATGCCTTGTAATTTTTTGTTGATTGCAGTACATAATGTATTGGTTTATAAAAATGCGAGTAGATAAGCTTTTAGTGTGGGGTTTCGTGCTAATTAATATACCTTAGAGTTGAGCTCTGTTTTATGTTTACTGGATCTGTAAGAGCCAGAGGCTTCAGCTTTCTTTAGTGTTCCTGTTTTCTCTCCTGTTGTCTTCGGGTTTCCTTATGAACTTTTCCTTAGATACAGTCTGCATCCTGCAGATTGTTTAGCTCGAAGCCATTGTTTTGAAGTTGGAACCTTCTGGTATGGTTATAAGGTATCATGGAATGGAAATATTATATAATTTTATAATTAAATCTCAGTCTTTTGATGGTCTCATGTTTCTGGGCTGTGAATTTTATAAGTGTTTCTTAGCATCTCCTGTGAGACAAGAAGGCTAGAAGGATCTGGGATTGGGGACATGCCTTTGTCCCATGTGACATAAGACTCTAGTCAATTATTTTACCACAAAATGTATGACATCTGTATGGTGAATACTTTGAGCATATTTCAAAAGTGTTACTCTTCTCCTCTCCTTGACAAAGCCACAGGGAAACTTCTTTGGCTTTTCACTGTGAAACCTGGTTTACTTCTGGGAGGCAAAAATCTTCAAAAGTGTGGAGGTCACCCTAATACTGCAGCCCCCAGGTGTTCCTTGCACTCATACTAGGCTTCACACAGCCTTCAACAATTTATCAAATTTACCACGTATACATTCCTTCAAGTTTATGGCTCCAGGTAGTCAGATGTTGATAATAACTCTGAATTCACCTGACTCTCCAATTGGGGATCACAATTTCTTTTGCAACCCTAGCTTCCTGGGGGAGGTAGGGACAAATAAAAGTTGTTGATTCTCAGTTTTTTAAATATTTTTTTGAATGATGACTTCCAACTGCTTTACATGTAAAACTGAATTAATAGTATCCTAGATACACTGTTAACTAGAAAATTTTGATTCAGTAAATCTAAAGTGGGGCTAGAGACTCTATATTTTAAATAAATTCCTAGCTGATGTTAGTGCTTCTGGTCTGAAGGATTAGGATTGGCAGATTTAGCAGATGAAATATAGAACTCCTAGTTAAATTTGAATTTCAAATAAGTATTTTAGTATAAGTATGCCCTAAATATTGCATAGGACAGACAGACTTACACTAAAACATTCTTCATTGGTTATCCAAGATTTTAATTTAAGCTGAGTACCCTGTATTATATCTGCAGACCCTAAGAGAACCACACTTTCAGTAGCAAAGCTCTAGACTTACTTTAATAAAAGTGTCTGTAGATTTTCTGCAACAGAATTATCAGGGGCTTTGGCTAAAGTCTTGGGTCCTGGAACCAGATTTTTGGAAGTCTAAACAGTAAGTCCATTAACATTATACTAATAGTATTTAGGTTTCTATTTAAGAGATAAAAAATCGTTGTTTTGTTTTGGTTTTTATTTCCCCATCTAGGATTAAGAAAATATCATCAGGCTTCATGTGGTTATCAGATGAACATACTTTCAGTTAGTAATAAACATACTAATCTAATATCAATTGTTTATTGATTTCAAGGTTGCAAGATAAAAACGTATAGACAAAACACAGTAACTTAATTTTACATTCTGCTTTATAATGATTAAGCTCAGCAACTAAAAGAAGTAATTACAAATGACTGCATTTAGGAGATAGAAGAAGAAGTGAGGTGAAGAGTAGAGGTGATAGTGAGTCCATTTGTAAGTAATTGCAAATACAGGTGTGCCTTCTAGAGTTAATAGAATAAGAAAAATGTGTAAACAAGGCTTTAAAAGTTTGAAAAATAATCAATAAATTAATTAAAGTTAGTAATATGCTGTACTGGTAGAATGGAAAGACTTGTATAGCTAGTATTAGAAAGCTAAATATTATCTAACATCACGTCATCAATGAACAATACCTAAATTTTTTATAGAAATAATGGCAGTAAAAGCATCTTCTTTGTAAGTTTAAAGAATGTAAAAAATACCTGGGAGAAAATCTGTTGAATGGAAATTAATAATGGAGCTGGAAAAGCTATAGAGCAGAAGACTTTTGCTTTTCATTATAAGCCTTTTTTACTATTCGGTTAATTTTTTAAAAAACATATGCATGTATACATAATTTCTTTAATATAAAAAATGTTTAACACAATTTATGGATTTTGGTTACCATTTCAATAAGAGTTTTACTGAAAAGTAGAAAGGAAAAAAAAGTCTGCACTTATAATGCTACCCACATCCTAAAATCTCTTTGCTCTATTGATTAAATTAAAATAATACAGAAAATATTTGATGTTTAGAGAACAATAATTATTTTTAATAACCACTTAAAATAATAATTTGGTCTATTTTCCTCATTTAAGGAATATATATCTGATTTTTAAATGGGTTAATTTGGGAACAATGTACATAATATTATATAAGCACTATATATAATTTATAATGTGTGTATGCATATGTTACAAACATATATATGTTTTATATATAGACATATTTATACATGGAAAGAACCTTTCCATTTATTGAAAATTTCAAAATGAACTAATTGATAAGGTTTATTTATATTTTCCTAGTTTCTGTATGTCAAGTAAGTTTGGATTATATCCTGGACATCTTAACACTGCATTATGAAACTGTGTGTTGCTAAAATCTTCTGGAGAGTGCTAATTTTATTTAAAATTTTTATTTGTTTTAGGGGACAATAAACCCAGAAAGGTCTATACTGCAAGTTCTGACCCACATCCTGTGGATCGTGGTTTCAACATCAGTTTAGTTTTCAAAGGCTTTGTGTTGCTATTCTGTTCTACTTCTTATGTTCACCACCCAGGGGCCAGTACGGGACACTAATGGTGGTCTATTTTAATCACCACTTCTGAAAGTCTTTGCCATTTTACAGTTTCACACGTGTACAGCTTGGAAGTGAGCCTGAGACTTTGTATATAATTTCAAAGAATTTCTTCCTTTAGCTCCACTCTAGTCATGATCTGCCATACATATGTGGGTTCCCGGGGCTTTTTATTTTTCCTAGCACTCTCGCTAGAAAGTAAGGGGCTTAGCTTCTCTGCACTGTTGCACACTTCCCATAACTGGGTCTGCACTGGGCAATGTGGCAAGAAAAAACGAGCCTATGAGGTCATCATACCATCACTATACTACATTGCCACCATCACTGCTGAAACAAGGGTGCAGTTTTGTAGCTGAGGCTCACCTTGGGAAAGACCAGAAGAATCAAATGAGATTTATTGCACGGAACCCTTTTCCAAGTTCTCTAGCTATTTTCTGTCTGAGAGCAATATTATCTTTATGCACCCATTTGTGACTTGGACCGCCTTAGAGTCTGAGTCTCCCAGGAAATCCAGGAGAAAAAAAAAAACTAGCTGCATATTGCCTTATGAGCCATTTCTTGAATTTTGATTCTCCTATCTTAGTTACTTGCTCATATTTAATTTTCAGAATCCTCCAATAAGTGTCTTTTTTTTTTTTCCAATAAGTGTCTTTACATTTTTTTTTACTTGTAATCATGGGAAGAGAAAGCAAAAGTGTCCTTGTTCCACCTTAAACTTATTCAGCTTCTTCTTAAAATGGCTTTTACTTTTTATTCGGATGTCTTGTTCTTTTGCTTGATTGAAATCCAGTGAATTTCAGAGTTACTTTAGTTATGAATTTCTGTTTTGATTTTATCCATTTTTTTTTGCCAGTTGGAACTACCATTGTTTAGAAAAAACAGTAAACCAAGAGATGTTCCCGTATCCCAAACATGTGAAGATAAATGAAGTATTTTACTTTTTCCATATTTTATACCATCCCGAATTATCTCTGAAGAATATTTGAAGTTCTTTTATTTCTTGAATATCTTCTCCCCCACAAACTTTTGGATAAGAATAATAATGTTCTTCGTATCATGAAGGTCTTTCTTAAACCTCCCACATCTGACTGAAGCAGTTCCTTACTGGTGACAGGAGAAGAAAATTAGAGGTTTTTATTTTCATCAGAGTATACATCTGTAATCCAAACACCTCTTATTATTGCACATATTGGTAATGTCTCCTAAATTAATTATAAAATAATAAAATAGACAAAATATGTAGAAATAAACAGATGCTTGATATGTTAACAAAGACACGCTACAAATAGGATGAATATGAAAAGCGATGGAGAATATAAGTGAAGTAAATTTAATACTACAGCAGAAATAGTAATAATAATCATCATCATTATTGTAATAACCACAACCATGATTTGATTGTCCAGTCTGCTGGATACCATGGTAGGTTCTGCATGTGCGCCATCTTTTTGTCCCCTCCAAGATGAGCCTTGGAATAAGTAATGTGCCTATCATGTAGAGAGTTAAAGTTAGGTAAGTCAAGTGTATCTTCTGCAGATTACATTCTAACTTTGTATACTTTGCTGAGATACTGTGTATAGTATAGTATACTGTGTATACTATTTTTCTATATTGCTCAGATTTTTGTAATCTCTCTCTCTCACACACACACATACACACACACACACTCATAAACCAGTTATCTGACAATTTGCCAAAACTTACTTGGAAGAGAGATTATTTCTTCTATCTATGTGTGTGTTTGTTTAACTAATTTTGTCATTGTTGTTGTCATGAGTGTTATGAACTAGATTAGAAAAAGTTTCCTGGATTCTGAGAAATTCAAGGATTCTGAGAAACTGCTTCTCTTTAATAGTTCCCGTGGCAAGTAGCATGGTCATTCTCTGGCCAGAGCTCTGTTTGGGGTTAGGCCCTAAAATTTGTATTTTTGAAACAATATTAAAAATAATTCCCTTTGGTAATTTGCTGGTTCATAAAGTTGGAAACGTCTTACTTAGAGAAATTGATGGTATAAAGTCAAATATGAAACAATATGGTTTCTGGCATCTGCAGCAAGCATTGTTAATATGGGATCTATGAATAGAATTGAGGCGATCTTTGAATATGGAAAATAAAACAAAATTGCATCTTTATTTTAATTAACATTAAACTGAAACTTGCATTTTCTTCAAATACAAATTTTTGCAAAAATATGATTAAGCTACTGTTTAATCAAGCAAGACATATGACTTTGTCACTAATAAAAACCACAGATATTGTAATATGTGTATTTTCTCAAATTATACTTGTGTAGATATCTGCATTATTAATCTCATCGCTATCTTGAAAGTATGATTGTTATTATAATAAAACTACACCAGGCTGTTAATATTTTAATTAAAAAGCACATAGATGACTACATTGATAAATTGCATTTTTAGTATTTTGATCACTATGTTTTGACATAATTGTTTTCCTTTGTAATCCTATGCTTTTTATTTTATGCATTTAAAAATAATTCTGAGAGGGTGTCTTTGTACTTCATCAGACTACTCATGGGGTCCAGGGTACAAAAAGGTTACATTTTCCTGTTCTAAGGGTTAATCTACTGAGTAAATAAAATGGGATTTTTACAAAGTAGAGCCAAGAGGCATAATGACCATCTTGTCATGTTTAATATTACTGTATAGTAAATACTTTACATTTACATGCTATCCCCTGTGCACCCCAACCAAACCCCAAACACTACTCTGTAGCTTCTTATTTTGTGTGTATATTTTGTGTGTGTATATTTTGTGTGTATATTTTTTCTGTGTATATATAGAGAGAGACGCACACACACGCACACACACATACACACACATGCTTGGGTATTTCACAATTACTATGCTGATTGTTATATTTGGGGAAAAGGAGATACAATAGAGGAAAAAGCTAAAAGAGTAAACTGAAGACAAAAATAAGACGGAAAAAATATAAAAAAGAGAAGGATAAAATGAGGAAGAAAGAAAAATCATTGAAACCAAGAGATAGATTTCTTTCATCCTCCTCTTAGTCAATAGCTTTAGACTTCCTATTCACTTACTATTCACAATCAACTAGAAAATAATCTCCCAGCACCTCCTTTGTCCCTTATCGTATTACATTGAGATTTCTCTTATCTTTTGTTTGTTTAATGCTATATTTTTCAATACTTCAAATATTTGCAAAATTCTGTGACTTAAAAGCAACCCTCCTTTCCCCAGGTACAGAGACTCTTTTTAATAACATAGTCACTTTAGAATGGTCAATAAATAACTTCATATTTGTTCACAATTTATTTTTTATATTTATGTAATGGCTTAGTTCTAATTCCATTGTACAGTTATTTTAATGTTTGAAATACTAAATATTTAAATTTTGTCTTTTTGGACTCCTACAGAATGTAACTTATCAATTTGACATGATGCCATTCTAATTTGCATGCAAAAAAACAAATAATTTCTAACCTCCTGTGATAGAGATTTCGTTTAATCTGCTCCCTTGTTTGAAAAAAAAAAATCACTAACTGCAATATCTTAAACCCCCAACTTTTTTTCATGAGAAATAATAATGGAATAAAAGAGTATTACTGCCAAAACTAGCTTCATTTAAATTTATGAGAAATAATAAATCAATCATTAAAATGGAAACTAGGCATGAATAAAATCGAGACAAGAACAGTGACAGCATTTTAAGTAAACTTTGTAACAATCCTCAAAAGCCCAATACTTATTGTTTATGCAATTGTTTTCATACAACCTTGTATTGAGCCTCCTTAATTATGCCATAGTTGAATTACAATTAATATGTAAATAGAAACATAAAACCTGGTTTATCCCATGTAGCGATCTGTACCAGCAAACATCCTTCACAATCCTCTCATTGGAAAGTCTCTGGGGTTGCTTAGGCATTCTATTTTTCTTTTCCTTTAGCTTTAGTAATCTGGTTGGCAAAGCTAATTCGGAGCAGGATGTGCTGCTCCTGTAACCTGTTTACAAATCTTTAACATCTGGAAAAACGTAGCTTCTCTGTTGGTCTCCCTGTACCCCTGACTCACTGACATTAAGTGTATTTATCACTACCTAAGGTGGGAGTGAATTTTACATGCTATGTTGTTGTTGTTGCTGTTCGTCTGCCTTTATTTTCAAAAACTACAGTGATTAATTATTTTAGGTAGATCATAAAAACATGTTCCTATGGATAGGATCACAAAAACACAGCCTATGGATTTTACATGAGTCAAGTAATAAATACAGAATTTGAGGTTATGTTTAAGTATTGTAATTAATTTTCTGCCCCTTCTGATTGTTCTCTTATTTTAGGAATATTTACCCTACAAAAAGGACCTCTGATTTTACCATCATGCTGGTAATTTATAGTATTTGATTTTGAATTACACAAAGCAAATAACCAACCACTAGAGGCTGGGAAGGTAAAGGGAATGGAGAGATAGGGAAAGATTTGTTAAAGGTTACACAATTATAGCTAGATAGGAAGAGTGATTTCCAGTATTCTATACCACTGTAGGATGGATACAGTCAATAATAATATATTGTATATTTTCAAATAGCTAGAAGAAGGTTATTAAAATGTTCCCAACACAAAGAAATAATGAATGTTTGAGATGATGTATATGCTGATTATCCTGATCTGATCACCATACATTATAGGTATGAACATGTACAATTATTATTAATTTAAAAATTGCAAAACTGAAGATAATAGAATGATTAAATGACATCACTCTGTTCTCAGCTTCCACATCAAGCCTATAACCCTTTTGGCAATAGATCCTGACCCTTTGACCACAGAATTTGGCACATTTCCTTACTCTGAATCCATTACTGTTCACTTTGTCCTGATTATAATGCTTGGATCACAAATGGAAACATGATTTAAGCATGGCCAGTTCAAATATTTTTCCAGGACTTTGGTGATGGACACTGAGAGCATTTCTCATCTTCTGTGTCAGAGAAATGAGTATGTGACTTAGGAATATTCCGACTATATTCCATCTAGGTAGAGGAAGTCTATTGTTACAGGAGAAAGCTAGATATCTATAAAATACAAAAGACTATGCAGACACACAGAATGACCAAGAAGCTAAAAAACTTTCAACAATTATTTAAAGATGAAGGTAGATACAGCTAAAAAGATAGCAAAAATATATGTACACATTTCACTCTCTTTTAGATGTATTAATTTGCTCTATTTTTTTAACTTAAGAATAAGTATACCTTATGATCAAGTGATTTCACAAATTGATATTAATAAAATAAATTTATATGCGCACATATAATTATATTTATAAAATGTTAAAGTATTAATTTTGGAATGATTTTAAATGTAGAGATTAATATATAGACTTTATATAAATTGTTACTTCAATTTTATGTAATATTACCATCCTTGAAGATAATGGTTTCCAAAAATTATTTAATGGCATGAAAATTATTAGTGTTTACTAAGTGGAAAATGGTCAAATGTTTAAATTTAACAAATCTCATAGTTAATATAAGTATACATTTAGTTTATGTTTCTATTTATACTAATATTCCATTAAAAAAACTTTAAAGAGCAGTAAAGGTAGGTCTTTCTAGGTGGTAAGAATATTGGTGATATAATTCTTTTGTTATTGTAAGTATTATCTAAGAAAACACTAACATTTCTACCATTAATCCCAGTAATTCCATTACTGAATATCTTATTATGTGTCATATCTTTCTATTAAGGTTTTAGAACTCTTTAAATGTGGTCCTCAAGCTGCTACTTAAATCAGATTTCAAAAAGCATATGTATTGTATTAGAATTCATAGGATAAATGACATTTATATATGGCACAATCATGTACGATGGCTGGCTGTCTCTCACACACACATGCACATCAGAATTCATAAATTATATTATTTTAGGATGACCTTGAAACCACTTTTCACTTTGTAAATTATGAAACTACTTTCGCTTTTTTACTTTTTAAATTAAATTATTTTTAAAACTTTACATGCTTATTGCTACAGGTAGAGGTTATTATTTCTGTCTCTGAAATGTGTGAGTTGGGCTACATCAGTATGTTAAAACCTTCTATCAAAGTCTATAACATTTGAGCTAGCAATTTCATGTCTGAAAAGTGGGCCTACATAAATTGAAGACATATGGAAATTTTTTGAATATTAAATGAAATTATTAAAACATGTGGCACATAGGAAATGTTAAATACATATTTCTATCATTACTGTTATTTTTAGCAGTAGAAATATAATCCATGAATGTAAGAGGTGAAATGGGTCTCTAGTAGGAATTGAAATGTTGAAGTTTTTTTCCAACTTTTCAGTTTATTTCTATCAAAGGACAGCTTGGGATATATGTAGTCATGTCCCTAAATGAGTATGATAAATATCACATTCATTTCACCAAAAACATGAAGGCACAAATATTTAAGATTACTGGCATCTGCATTTCTCTAATGTTACAGAGCTCAGAGTAAAACAGTAATAAGAGAATAAACAGGGTTAAATATGTTGCCATTATGACATTTATTTAAAATATTACCGAAATAACCAAATTAAACATGGAATAGCTATAGATTAATCCCAGGGTTTTCATTCAGGATAATTCATAGCATTGGTTATCCTAAAATACACAAAAATCCTAAATCTTATTTATTCTCTTATAGAGTTTTGTTTTATGAAATATGCAATATTATTAAAAATTTTGGCACAATGAGAATTTCATAATATTTTCTTTAAATGCAGGTTGTCTCAATAAAATGTTTTGGTGAACACTAATCCTGTACATTTCTCCTAGCTTCTAATTGTCTGGAGGTAGTAGAATGATGGCAGAGTGAAATCAAGTTGTAAATAACAGTGTGTTCACCTGTATGACATTCAAATATTAACGATAGTTAAACATGTTATTTCTCAAATCAAAAAGACTTAAAAAGTGAAATTCTTAAATATTGAAGGAGGAAACAGACGGCAGATTTCTGATGTTACTTCTCATCAGCTGTGGGTATAATTGTGACTAGCATTCCTCAATTGAAATTTTCTGCATCTTCAGTTAAACACCTCTGAAATTAGAAAGGATAGAGCTGAGCAGTTATCATTGAAATATAATAAATTAATTCAACCAAAGAATATGGTGCAGAAAATCCCTATCTGTTATATAACAACCACTTTAAATAATACCATTATGCAGGAGTAATTAACCTCAATCCTAATTTATTCTACATTGTTATAATACAACATCCCAAATCTGGTTTGTTCACTGTGTTGGATAGGGCAAGGCAGGATGAAGTTCTATTTTGTTTACGTATTTCTCTTCTATGCTTTGTAAATTACATATATTTGTGTTTCATAATGTATATGCTAGCACAATAGTTTATTCTTCTCATGTATATACATAAAACTATGATTTATTATTTTATAAACTGCTGATTTTGTCCCTAAATTTCAATTCCACACTTTTCTTCAGAATATAATTTAAATTTTAATTTAAATTATAATGTGGTCAGTGATGTGGCTAGTGAAAATACTCTTTCCCATCGTTCTGTATTTGCATTTGACCATGTGACTGACAATTGGGTAGTGAGGTAAGCAGAAGTATTCTCTGAGGTTTCACAGAATGCTCCTTGAATGCAGTTTCCCCGGTTTTTTGTTGTTATTGTCTGGAATAAGGGAAATTTAGCAAATACCTTAGATTATAAGCCTTTCTTGGATAATTACACAAAATACACGGAGGAGGTTTCAGCAATTTGTTCACAGAACCACAATACAAGCCCTATATAGCTGACCTTCAAAGAGAACAATATCAATGTACACATTGCTTAACCTAACATTATTTATTTGTTCTGATGAATACAGCCATACTAATCACAGTGACACAAAAAATATGGGGTTTACATCTCCAAATGTTTACTTATAGTTAAGTTTCATGATTACAGAATTTTGGAAACTATTAGTAGAAAGATGGTACTGATAATACCAAATTAAATCCAAAACCCAGAACTTAGGAAAACAACATTAGATTGGTGCAAAAATAATTGCGGGTTTTACCTTTGCTTTTAAAAGCAAAGACTGAAAGTTTCATAGTATTCTTATTATTAAATAACGGAAGTGTCTCTGTGTGTGTGTGTGTGTGTCTGTGTGTTTGGGATATATGGGATAAACAATGTATGAATGACTTGAAGTAAGTTTCTCACAACTATTAGCAGGTGTGGTCTTTTAATGACATCATATTAATCACAAGAATCTTTGGATATCAAACACATTGGTATACAACTTTTCTATCCCCACACTTCTTGGTTCTGAAGAAAGTAAAGAAAGAAAACCTCTGTCAACTGGGATTGCAGTCTAAATTATAGTTTCATGTGATGGGTTAGCAAGAAAAACTGCAGCATTTGCAAGAGTTTGGAATGGCATTCGGAAATTAAGATTTCATGCACACAGCTCAAAAGCTACTATTTAATAGGAAATCCTGTTACTCTACTTAGTATTTATGAATAGCTATAAATATTGATATATCTTTGTTCAGTCCCATAGTTTTTGAAAATAGCCAGTACGTTTTTGGGGATATTCTTTAAGTACCTTAGTCACAGTATAAACTATGGGGGATGCATTAGGCATACTATATACAGGAATTCTATAAAATTCTTCTTTGATTCTTAAATCTGAGTTTATCATTCTGCTTTTTTTGCAATTGTTTGTTGCTTTCTACCTATTTATTATAGTAATAATATGTTAGAAAATTTGAGAAAAATAATTACAAAGAGGAAAAATCAGTTTTTTAGATTTATTCATGTAAAGAGAGTGTATGAGACAATTACCAACATGCTTATAAAAAAGAGACAGTTTTGCTAAATAATTATTCTTTGAAGTCAAGTTTATCTACTTGTGATCATATTAAGCAGGCTTATGATTTGGCAATATGAATATTGCCAAATATTCATATGGCCTTATGATTTCAGCTGCATATCTTAAAAGAAGAAATTTTTAGAAAACTAAAACTATAGAGAAATAGTATTTTTCATTTTTTTTCTTGAAAAGCTGCAGTACAATCAGTGTGGAGTTTTTTTCCCTCATAAGTGGAGAGCAGATGAAAAATTATGAATTTTGGAACAAAGAAAACCACCACATTTTACATATGTTTAATAAAATACAAAGCAATATCATACTAAAGCAATTCAATTTAAATATTTAAGACACAAATAAAATAAAAAGTATTATTAAACAGTCTAATGCGTTTAGACAATTTCCTGCCATATTATTCATGAACATGGTCTTAAGTAAATAGCCTCCCTGTAATTGTTTATTTTTCTGAGCAATAAAAGCTATGTCTCTTGGACAATTGTACTTCAACTTCCAGGCAATTAATGTGTCTTGCTATAGAAATGCAATGTGCAATATATTATTTTAGGAAAATGTATCCTAAAATATGTAACATTTTATATAATATTAGAAACATAAAAACTTCATAAATTTCACTGAATTATTCTTATATTTTTGCCTGAAAGGACTTTGCATTTTATATGTGAAATCGGCAGACTCTGTGGCAATGTCTCTTTGATGAAATATACACAATAAAGGATGATAGATCTATAATATCTCTGATGTGGCCAGTAGAATTAAAGGATGAAAAATATTTAAATAAAAGATGGAAAGAAGAGGAAAACAGGTTTTAAGAATAATCATTCAGTTTTCTTTTACTTTTGCAAATGTCAGAATCATACCTTGCTTCCATAGCAAGTGAACAAGTTTGGAAGTCCATATGTTTCTATATTGGAGATGCTTTCAGTTCTACCATTCTGGTTTGACAATAGATTGGGCCATGTTTATGGAGCCACATGAATCCTGAGTCTCTGAGGGCTTTAAGGTTCAAAATAAAATTTAATTAATCTCATCATAATAAAGGGAAGTTTATAGCTGCTTATCTGTTATAATGAACATCCTCACGTTATTGTAGGACCTTAGCAAAAAAGACAAACTATTGTCTATCACTCTTGAAACATGCCCTTCATCATTTACTATTCCCCAAAATACAGAGGGACAATTAGATCAGCTCTATGACTAGCCAAGGCAATACTGAAGGAGCTTAATTTGCATCACAATACCTTTCTTGATTTTAAGCAAGTTATATAGATTTGTCGGCCTTAAATAGATCATATCGGTCTTGAATTGTATTTCTGGGAGTTACAAAATACACAGCATGTGTTCAATTTATATATGTCAAGGGATATAGCAAAAAAAGGATATAGCAAAACATTCTCAAGTTAAAAAGGAAACTTAACTATTATTTATTCTGTTTCTTACTTCATTCACTTGTGAATTTTACACCATTCATTATTAGCTTAAATATTTGAAGGTTTTAGGTCATGCAGCCCTCACCAAGTTATCATATTCCATGACAAGCTGCTCCACCTAGCATTTGGCTGTCCCTCCTAGGGAGGGCATATTTTCCTCTTTAAAAAGATATTTATGTAAGTCAAATAGGAATGTCAAACCACCTCACTTCTTTTTTACTTAGTATTCAGAGATAAGTGAAATGTGTCTCAAACACTTTTTTAATGCATTCATTTTTATACAGCCATCTCTATATGATTTAGTTTTATATCTTTTTAGAACAATATTCTAAAGGCAATATTTTTTAAAGTTCAATCACACTTAAGAGAGAAGCTTGCATGAATTCTTAACTTAAAGATTGTGAAATATTTAATTTATGAAAACATTTTAGGTAAAGTTGAAGAGTCCCTTGCCCCCAAAGGAGCTCTACTGTTTGCAGCATAAAGTGTTATTTTAATAATAACTAATTAAGTTAATAGTGCTCATTATGTCATTGAACCATGAAATTATAAATCTCTTTCCTCCCCTAAGCCTCTTTGACCAGAATGGTTGAATAGCCTAATAATTTACAAATCCTATCAGCAATATTCTGAATTTATAGCATCTTAATTGAATCAATGCAATAAATAAAATGTAATTCTAGTCAATGATATTTTGCATCAGTACTTCAAATTATTTTCAGCATGTTTAAACAATTGATTTTTTTTTGACAAAATGCAATCTGGTATTGAGGATCTGTAGTTCTGAGGGAACTATTTATTTTTCTATTGAAGTATTTCAAAACTTCTTTTAATTACTTCAGTCTCTTTCATGGCATACAATTACAACATGTTAAGTTTCTCACCACCCCTTTCTCTTCTGCTATGCTTTCATGCTAAGGATTTAATCCAATAATATGCTTTCTACTACCATTATAAGGATGACTATGGCTCCATTAAAACATCCCCTTATGTTTGTTGTTGTTTTTCTTGTTGTTTTTGTTGTTGTTTGAGACAGAGTCTCACTCTGTTGCCCAGGCTGGAGTGCAGTGGCATGATCTCAGCTCACTACAATCTCCGCCTCCTAGGTTCAAGCAATTCTCCTGCCTCAGCCTCCTGAGTAGCTTTTGTATTTTTGTATTTTTTTTTGTATTTTGTATTTTTAGCCACTGCACCCAGCTACTTTTTGTATTTTTAGTAGAGACGGGGTTTCACCACGTTAGCCAGGCTGGTCTCGAACTCCTGACTTGACATAATCCGCCCACCTCGGCCTACTGAAGTGCTGAGATTACAGGTGTGAGCCACCGCACCTGGCCATGTTTGAATTTTATATTCAAATTATCCTCTATTCTTAGCTCAAGCCAGAGCATCGGTTGGCAACATTCTGTATCCCATAAATGATCCGGGAGCCACCACACACGAACAATAGAATAGCTTCGATAAACTGTAATTTAATAGATATTAATTTATCATTTGTTATTTAATTATTGAAATACTGGAACATTATATTTTGGGCTTAATAAAGCCTACATTGTAAAAAAACATTAAAAGGAAAATCTCTGACTTATCATTTTATTCGCTCTGGAAATTTCAGTAGTATACTATGTTATACTTTCTCTTTATTTGAGAAAGTACTTTCAACAGAAACCCAGAGATATCTAATTAAAAATGACTTAAAACAAAATTTTTTGGCAATAAAAACTTCACAATTTATCAGTTTTTTCTTTTTTTGCCTTGGTGACAAAAAAGTTCAGAGCCAAATTGTGGAGTTTATAATAATACTTATTTACAAGTTAAATGGGGCTGGGTATGGCAGCTCACGCCTCTAATCCCAGCACTTTGGGAGGCAGAGGTGTGCAGATCACCTGAGGTCAGGAATTCAAGACTAGGCTGGTCAACATGGCGAAACCCTGTCTCTACTGAAAATACAAAAATTAGTCAAAAGTGGTGGCACGAGCCTGTAATCCCAACTGCTTGGGAGGAGGCTGAGGCAGGAGAATGGCGTGAACCCAGGAGGTGGAGGTTGCAGTGAGCCAAGATCACGCCACTCCACTCCACTCTAGTTTGGGTAACAGAGTGAGACTCCGTCTAAAAAAAAAAAAAAAAAAAGCAAGTTAAATGTACTCCAAGAATTTGTTTTTCTTAACATTGATTTCCTTTGGCTGATGGATTTCATGGATTTACATTGTTTGATGCATCTGGCTCTCTCAGTCTCTTTTTTCTTTTTGTCGATGAAAGTGTTCACCAGGAAGGATATGTTCCATGTTGTTTTAGTGAAGATTATCTTATAGTCAGCAGTAGAGAGAAACTGAGGCATTGACACCACATTAACCTAAAGCCTGTGTGTAAAACTAAATTTTAGTACTTTTATGGTATAGTTTCATGTACTACATTATATACTATGCATACCATTCAATCAGGGACTAGCAAACTAAAACCTGTGGGCCAAATCCTACAACTCATCTGGTTTTGTAAATAAAGGTTTATTGCATTGCCTATTGTTGCTTTCTGCTATAAAGGCGCAGTTGAGTATTTGTGACAGAAACTATATGGTTCACAAGGACTAAAAATAGTTATCTGGCCTTTTATGGATGAAGCTTGATGAATTACAGAAAAATTAATGAATATATTTTTAATTCTCAAGTCCAGTGGGAATATAATAAAAATGTTGTTTGTATGGAAGAATGAGTTATTCTCTAATAAGAATCAAGAACTTAAACTTACGTGTTTAATATGTGTCTCCAGACTTAAATTAAAATCTTGATTAAAGAATCGAGTTCTTCTAATCAGATCTGAATACCTGACACATGCCATAATAAAGGCTCAAAGTGAACCTAGAGAATCTGAAACCACAAAGTCCTAGATTTAATGAATTCTTAGATAAAATGAAATGGTTGCCTCTATCACAAGGGCTTTGGAAATGCATTCATGTAAAGCTGTCAAATAAAACGTATTTTTCCCTTTAAAGAGACCTCTCTGCTATGAAAAAGAAAGAAAAGGTAAAACAAAGGAACATAACTACTCATGCTCCTTCCAAAAAACTACTATAAAATATTAAGGAAAAAGATTGTACTTGAAGTCAGCTCTGAAATAAGTATCTAAATAATAGGTAAGGTATTATGGTAACAAAAATTTTTATCTAGCATGAAATCCCAAGAACTTGTATTACATAGGTATACTAAATAGAATTTAGATTTAAGGATAATAGCCGCTACGCATTAAGACACATAAAATGTCAGATATCATCTTTACTGAAACAAAAAATAGCAATATAATACTAAATAATAAAATCATATTTGTAAGTGTTTTAATAGCTTCTCGTAAAACTTGGTTTCCTAAACTGTTTCCGTCATTAATTTTTAAGGTTTCTCAGTTGCAAATTATTCTATCAGAAAGATTATTAAATTGAACATGTTTTGATTTCAGTGGCTACTGAAGTTTAAACTATAGATCCATTGTTAGAGAAGGAATAATGCTTCTCAAGAAGGAATAATACTGGTTAAAATATACATGCCACTGTCATGCCATTACAGACACAAAACTGTAAACTGTATGCAAAATCACCAAATTTACACAAGTGAAGAGTAAGGAGTAACTTTGGACATGAAGGTAAAGACTCAAAAAGTAGCTAAATCCATTTCATTTTACTTCAGACATCTTAGAGATAACTTTCTTATTTTCCTCCTCTCTACCATCACCTATTCTAATTAAATCATTATTTCTCAGTGGTTACCTATCCTAATTAAATGACAGTAGATTCCTAATGGGATGTTCTGCCACTAAGCAGGTCCTTCTCCCTTCTGCATCAGAGAAGCCAGAACTCATAGTAGTATTCTTAGGATCAGTGATCCCAAGTGAGACATGTAGCATGTGTATTTCATATGCAGACTTTCTGGTGTCCTAGGTGTTGTTCTTACACTAAAATCCATTCTTTTTCATGGGGCATTTAAAGGACTGTTTGCTTTCAACTTTCTTTTCTCGTTTCTTGCAGACGTTTACATTTACACTTCTTCTTCTGAGCATATGATACAGATATACTTGCTATGGTAAGACATATTGAGCATTTTTATATGTTGATGCCTTGGTTAATGTCAGTTCTTGTCAGTCTTATCCCACAAATATTTCCCTACAGACATAAGATAGTGACAGAATCATCCAGAGCAGTTGTCTGTAGTACAACTACAGTTTTTCTGGCGAATTAGCCTGTTCAAGCCACATAGTTTACACTAATTTCTCTTACTTCATTTTTTTTAAAGCACAGAAAGTCTCCTTTCTACTCCATAATGTGCCAAATACTATGTATATACTAGAAAAATCGAATCATATAAGATACTTATTTAAAACCACGAAAGGCGGAAAAGGGAAAATTAGAAAAGAAGAAACAAAGAAGAAGTATAGAGAGTGCTTACAAAGATAATAGATATTAATCCAACTATACAATGATCACTTGAAATGTGAATAGTCTAAAATTGCCAATTAAGAGACAATGACTAGCAGAATGGATGGAAAACAATACACAACTTTATATTACGTATAAGATACTCACTTTACATATAAAGATACAAACAGATTAATAGATTACACCCACACCCACACACACACACACACACATATATATATATATATATGTTATTTCACCTTGACTATGAACTCCTTGTCCAGGGATCATAGCTAATATGTCATTCCATTACTCAAGTCACTAAAAAAATTATTGCTAAAGAAAAAATATATATCAAATGAATAGCTGTAATACAAAGGACTATTTATTCATTGATGTTAAAATTTGAATTGCAGACAAATATTTCCTTTTAGTATCTTTACAAACATTGTAATATAATTTTTAAGCATGAATATGTTTTCTTCCTTTAATGCAACCCCATCACCATTTAAATATGGGATAAAAACATTAAGGGTCTCATTGTGTTGCGGATTTGCCAGTTCTATAGATAATCCATTTGTATTTAAAGACTAAGAGAGGTGGAAAAGCAAAATTGTGACTAAAATCCTTTTGCTTTTTGAAACTGCTCTACGGTTGAAATGTCGGCATCTTGTATGTATTATTTTAATAATGAATACACTATTTTTTACCACAGTGTTAGATTTACAGAATAATCTAACAGATAATATAGAGTTCTACGTATGCATTCCATCTGCTCCCTCCACTCTCACACAATTACCCCTCATGAGCAACTTTCATTAGTGCAGTATACTCATTATAACTAATGAAACAATATTGATGCATTCTTCTTATATTATGGTCCATGGTTTACATTAAGCTTTACTTTTTGTGTTGTACATTTCTATGGGTTTGACAAATACATAATTATTAATATATTTATATTAATTTTAATTTTATATAGTTGTATTGCCCCCCCAAATCCCCTGTGCTCCACTTATTCTTTCCTCCCCACCTCCACTAGAATATTCAGCAACCACTAACTTTTTTGTTGCCTCTGTAGTGTTGTCTTTTCCAGAATGTTATATAGTCAGGATAATGTGATATGTAATCTATTTAGATTGGCTCTTTTCACTAAGCAATATGTATTTAAGCAATATGCATTTTCACACTAAGCAATATTTCTACCAAGAAATAAACTACCAAGCCAGAGAAAACATGACAGAACCTTGTAATGAATAATATTGCCCTGTATGAACATGCCACAGTTTGCTTATCCAGTCAGCTTTGGAAGGCCATCTTGGTTGATTCCAGGTTTGGCAATTATGAATAAAGTTGTTATAAACATTCATAAGAAGGTTTCTGTGTGGACATAAGTTTTCAACTCATTTGAGTAAATGCCAAGGAGCACAATTGTTGAATCAGATTATATAATATGAATATGTTTAGTTTTGTAAGAAACTGTCAAACTAGGAGTGGCTGTACCATTTTGCATTCCAACTAGCAATGAATGAGAGTTCACCCTTCACTTTTAACCTGCATTTTTACATGTAAAGTCTGTAAACTTACCTTGTAACTTACCTATAAACTCAGAAACAGTATGTAATTGGTTGTTGTTTTTCTTCCACTCTGACAGTCACTGTCTTTTAATTGGCAAAGTTAGACTATTCACATTTAAAGTGATCATTGGTATAGTTCAATGAATATCTGTCATGTTTATAAGTTTTCTCTATTTGCTACACTTGTTCTTTCTGTTTTAAAATCTTCACCATTTTTTGCCTTCTCTGCTTTTAAATGAGCATGTTATATGATTCTATTTTTCTCTCATTTCTTAGAAGGGGAACCATAATTTAAAAAATATTAGTGTTTGTCCTAGCATTTCCAATATACATTTACCACTAATGCAAGTCCACTTTCAAATGCACTACACCACTTCAAGGTAGTATAGGTAATTTAAAACAGACTATTCTCAATTCTTCCTTCTAATTACTTATGATATTGCTGCTAATTATTTTTCTTATACCTTTTTAATAATCACATGATATGTTGTTACTATTAGTACTTTTAACAGTTATCTACTAGATCAGATTCAGGAATAAGAAATATAAAGATAGTATTTTATCTTCATTTATACCTTCTCTGACACTCTTCCTTTTTTCCTATAGAACCAAGTTTCTGACCTGTAAGAATTTCATTTTCTCTGAAAAACTTCTTTTGATATTCTTTGCAAGGAAACTTTTATGGATGAAATTCCTTTATTTTGTGTTTATCTATGGAAGTCTTCATTTCTCCTATACTCTTGAAGGATAATTTCACTGGATACAAAATCCTAGGTCTTTTAAGCATTTTAAATATTTTATTCTATTCTCTTCTTGCTTTCATGGCTGACAAGAAGTCTGATTGATCCTTATACTTGTTCCTGTATAGTTCATGCATTTTATACCCTCTGGCTCTTTCCAGGATTTTTTCTTTGTCTTTGGTTTTCTGCAGTTTGAATATAATACACCTAACTGTAGATTTTGTTGGTATTTATCCTGATTAGTATTCTGTGAACTTCCTGGATTTATGGGTGCTTTTTTTGTCGTTAATTTTAGAAAGTTTTAAGCCATTATTACTTCAAACATTTCTCTGGATTTATTCTTTCTTCTCTTTCTGGTATTCTCATGATGCGTATCTTAAACCTTTTAAATGACCCCATCATTCTTCAATATTCTATCCTATTTTTTTTTCCTTTCTCTTTCGTTTCCTTTTCAGGTTGGGAATTTTTGTTGTGTCTAACATTTTCTTTTGATATTTTCCTAAAAGTTTCATAACTTCTCTTATATTACTCATTACTTCTTGCATATTTTATATTTTTTAAATTATATCCTTTAGAATATCAGTCTTTGTTTATTGGCGTGACCATTACAAAATCTTTGCCATATCTGAGTCCAGTCCTGATATTTACTTTTTCTTTTCTGATTTTGTTTTTTTTCTTGCCTTTTAGCTGTCTTGTAATTTTTATCGAAAACTGAACATAATTTATATAGTAAAAGGAAATGAGGTAGATAGATCTTTGGGTGAGAGTTTATCTTTTTAAGAGTTAGCTATGTTTACTCTTTGCTGCATCTACAGATGTCAAAAGCTCAAATTTACTCTTGTATCCTTGATTTTGTCTCCTTTGTTATTTGTGGGTTTCCCTTAGAAAGTCCTTCTTAGAGTCCTAGCCTTGCAGGTACTGCAGTTATATCCCACTGTTATACAGGACTCCTGTTGATGTGGTGGTAAGGTGTGGGGGGGAGGAGAGGATTCCAAAATTTTATATTTAGGTCTTAGTCTTTTAGTGTCCTGTGTTTATAGGCTGTGGCCCTTGCAAGTGCTTCTTAGCATTTTCCCGTCTTAAGGGAGATAGACGGTACAGAAAGCTGGATTTGGGCATTTTGCTTCCCTCATGTACCTAATGCTCTGATGAAGTCTTCTCTCTTTCTGAGTATGCCTTTGTTTTACAGGAAGATCTGGGCATATTTCATAATTGTTACTTTCACCTTCACCCTGACCAAACTTGAGGGGATTTTTCTCCAATTTTCACCATGAAAACTTGGTGGGGCTCCTGGAGGTAAAACCTACAAAAGTGTGGGGGCCTCCCTTTGCTTGGCCCCCTCCAGAGTTTTAACTTCTAAACTAGTCCATAGTCAGCCTTCAGCAATACATTTAAATGTTTCTATCAGTTCCAGGCTCTTGTGATTTCTGCTTCAAGTAGATTGGTATATATTCTCTGTATTAGCCTGCCTCCCCAGTTTTTGGGGTGGTGATTTGTTGTGTGACCTCAATTCTCAGAAGTATTTAGGAAAAGTCATTGATTTTCAGTTTGTTCAGCTATTTTTTTTCTTGTTGTAAGGGTGGGAGCAATGTTTCCAAGGTCTTTACATGTCAAAAGCAGAAATATATATATGTGTATATATATTTCTTATATATATTTATATTTACTATATATTATATATTTATATATTTCTTATATTTACTATGTATTATATATATTTTATATATTTTATATATAATAAATCAATGACAAGTGATGCCATTAATTTATTCATTTATTCATTCCTTATTCATTGACATATAGCCAATCAAGCTGATGTCTTCAATTTATTCATGTATTCATTCATTATTCATTGATATATAGCCAATCAAGCAAGCAAGCAAACAAAAATATATGAGTGCCTATCATGGACCAAAATTTTGCTGGCTAAAGACTGAAGAAATAGAAGATAAAGTTTAAATACAGTTCATTTGTCTTCTTTATAGACTCACTTTTTGCAGCAGACAATGTGCTATGTCTGAAACAGTAAATTCCAGGGACCTTAGAAGAAAATAACTGCACCTAACTCAATTCTAAGTAATGAGAAACTCTTTGTGTAATCTGAGGTGAGCATGAGGATGCAAGGAGTCAGTCAAGCCAAAGAAAGACAAGATTGAATGCTGGATATGAAGAAAGCAAGGAGAACCAGGTAAAATAGGTGGAAAAGATGTCGAGGAGAATGTAGCCTAATCTTTATGCCCAATATTGTTCACCAACAATCAGGATTTCATATATATAAAACAAGAATATTTGCTGTACATCTAGAAAAAAATTATAACTGTTTCAGGCATTCATTCAAATGATAAAAATCTTTCTGTACAAAATTCTCCCAATAATAATTAAAATCATGTACCCTACTACCAATAATTTATTTCACAATAGGCCTCCAAAAAAGCAATCATGTCCACATTAATTAACAGGAGATTATCAACAATCTGAGAGATTCATGGCCTTACTTTCTGAATAGTAGCATGCAGAATATTTTTGGAAAAGAAAAGCTAAAAAATCAGGGACATAGTACATCTCAGAAAATGACATCATCTTTTACTTTATAACTTCAGGTTTGCTCTCAAAAATGTATAACACCACAATATTGTGAAGTTTTACAACCCAAATCCACAACAACTCTACAAGATCCTTCCCGTGTAAATGTCTTCAGATGCATAATCAAGCACAGAAAATAAAAAATATGCCCAGTTTGTTACACAGAACAGGGAAGAAGTGTTTGCTTAGATAGATTCTGGGCACCATCTGGGAGACAAGTGCCTGGTTTCACAACAGATTGCATAATTTTTCTGTTGAATCTGGAGAAAAGCCCTAACTGCTTTAATAGAGAGTTGATTTTACATGCCTTTAATCTTCATTTCAGTTTGTCTTAAAGGCAATCCATATGGTTGAATGGCAGAAGTAGTCATTAGCTTAACACAGTGTTCAGGCTTCCATCTTTCTGTGAGAGACATGCAGTATTTCACCTTATAGAGAGTTAGTTTTCATTGCACATGGTAATTAATCTTTTTACTAGCCAAGCGTCTACTGCATATATATGCCATTGATTGATTAGATTAGAAATTTAATGTTACAGTTCATACATTAGTAATATTTCAATATAACACATACCAAGGACTCCAGTATCAATATAAGTAAATCAAGAGCAGCACAAAAAATCAGCACCTGGATCAAGAAGGGTGACCTCAGCAGGAAGGGAATACTTCATCCACAACAGAGAAATCCTAAAGCAAAGTTCACCTTATTAGAAGCTCTGTGTGGAATCTATGGCTAGAGGGTACTTGGATTTTTAACAGAAAACAGAATACATCTAAAAGCAGATGGCAAGACACAATTCCCAAATGGACAAGACAGTCAGGCTACCCTTTTATGTACCTGTCTCTACATTCCTTTCTTGGCCGATGCTAGAGAAGAAAGCACTTTGGCATCACGTTGTAAAAGATACAATTAAAAATCAAAACAGATTGGCAAAGTTCGGTATTTTAATGAAAAGAATGGCTCATAATTGTATCCTGGTAATAGTTTCTGAAATGGAAGAAAAGTAAAAGAGCTTTTTTCATTGAGATAAATTCTTTTTAGGCCTGAGGCATGTACACGTGCTAGAAAAAAAAAAGTAACCTATATGTTTCTATCTACACAGAGAGGGAGAGTTGAGAAGAAAAATGTGTTTACCTTTATTTGTCACACGGGAATCAAAATGCTGGCCTGGGACTCTCAAATATGTTATCAAATATGATCTACCAAATGGTGTTCCAAGCTAAAGTGATGTTGGCTTTCACAGTACATTGGAAGAAATTGGGGAGTGAAGTATACAAACACATTCCTAAACTCCTAAATGTTAAATAAAAGCTATAAGATTAAAAAAATATAATTCCACAATGCAGACTTCTTTTCATCCTATTATATCATCCTTTTCTCTATTTTACCTTGATTTTCCTGCAGGGGAAGGGGTCTTCCAGGCAAGGAAAGTATCATTCTCCCCACAAACTATACACTTGGGTGACCCCAAGGAGTAGTACAATGATTATATGCGGCGGTAGCTAAATTAAAGGGTACAGAATGATAACCATGAAAGAGAAAGGAGAAAATAAATTCTAAGATTCTGATAGAGAAATAAAAACAGGAGCAGTTGAGGTCACTGTAGAAATAATTTTTTTTTTGTATTGTAGCTTTTGTAAAAATTAAATATATTGCAGATGATAATAATGGTCCCAATTCTTCAACACTTCGTGGTTCTATCCCCTTTGCCATCTACTTTGTAGTGCCTTTCCTTTCTGAGTCTGAGTTCAGCCATGTTTGCTTTGGGCCAAGTGAATCTTAACAGGCATCACACAAAAGGAGGGTTAGAAGGGCTCTTGGGCTTCTTCACTCTTTCCCTCTCTATTGCCATGTGAAGGACATACCTGGGCTAAGCCAGTGGCCCCAGGAGGAGGAAGAGAGACACACAGAGGTGAGTCACTCCAACCATTCTAATCAAGGCCATTCTAATCAGCTGACAGCTAGCCAAACTCCAGATATCTGAGTACACCAAGTGAGAAACAGAGAAGCTGCCTACAGGACCATCCCTGATATCTGAGCATAACTGCTTATTATTCTACTGAGATTTTGTGTTGTCTATCACACAACTTTATTATTTCAGTCGATATTTAATACAAAGTAAATGAAAATGGCCAGGCACAGTGGCTCACTCATGTAATCCCAGCACTTTGGGAGGCCAAGGCGGGTGCATCTCCTGAGGTCAGGAGTTCCAGACCAGCCTGGCCAACATGGCAAAACCCCGTCTCCACTAAAAATACAAAAATTAGCCTGGCATGGTGGCACGGGCATGTAATCCCAGCCACCCGGGAGGCTGAGGCAGGAGAATCGCTTGAACACAGGAGGCAGAGGTTGCCGTCAGCACTGCACTCCAGCCCGGGCTTCAGAGCAAGACTCCATCTCAAAAACAAACACCAACAAAAGTAAATGATAAACATTAACCTTTATTAATAACAATTGTTAATATGGTAGTCGGTTTTGTTTGCTGTATTTTTGTTTCTCTCTCTCTCTCTCTCCCCCTTGTTTGTTTCTAGGAAATTCCAGGATTGTGAAAGAACGCACTATGGCATTTGATATAGAGATACCCATAGCTCTTATATCGTTACTGAGAATTTTGGCCTTCAAGTTCAGTCTGAGCCTATCATTGCGGACAGAGTGATGGTAATTTTGATTAGCTTAAGTTAATCAGGATCCACGTCTAGAAATGAAAATGTACAAAATTGCTTGACTGGAAAATATAGAGTATTTTTGGGAAGGAAGAAAAGGGAAATGGATGGAAAAGAGATAATTAATAAATGCCGACCAGGGGCTAGCAGAGTCCAGCAAGTAGTTGAATGAATGCTTAAAAAGACAAATAATTGATTTATTGAATGAATGAATGAATACATGACTATTTTAAGGCTTAGATAATATTTGTTTTGTCTTTTAAGCACAATTGAGCATGATCTGATGGATAATGCACTAACAAAAGATAAACTAAACAAGTTTTTACTTTTATGTATCAAACAGGTACGATGTGCAGTGATATAATATGCAATTCACTTAATATTTTATGTAAATTCTATTATATTTTTTAAGAGTAGACATTACAGCTTAGAGTGTAGAAAATGGTGGTTCCTCTGCCTGAATGGTGATATGCATTCATTTGGCTTTTTAATGCAGAAGTCACTCTGCTGAGGAAAGCTTTTGCAGCCTATTTAAACTCGTTTTAATTTGAATCCCAAGTCATTCTTTGTGTCTGTAAGTTGGAACTGCTTAATAATCTATAGCAATAAAGCAAAGATTTGGGTAGAGATTGGCTTCCGAAGTACCTCTTGAATGCCGACTATAGACTACCCAATGCTTACAAATACAGTTAATATGAGTAATGAAAGGGAATGATGGATGCAAATTAACATGTATCATTCAAATCATCAGCCCAACAGCAGACAAACCTTCGATAAATGTCAAGCTAAAATGGTAAAATCAAATTGTTAACAGCCAAACGTAATTAATCAATCCTGTGCATAATTATTAGTTTACCAGCACTGTTAATAGTCAAACAAAGTGATCTTTCAAAATATAGTATTAGATTAATACAAATTAAATGGATTTCTGCTCAATGATATATCATGATGTGAGTTTCACTGCATGGAATTGAGATTAGTTAAATCTTGATTTGAAAATTGCATTCAAATTCTGTAATAACTATATGGGCTGGGGGCAGGGAGAGATGAGGTTGCTGCCCACAGTGTGAGAGCAAGGAAAGAAAATAACATTCTTCACATTTGAAATGCTGTCTTCTTCTTGTCACAGAGAATACCCTGCTCCAAGCTGTTCAGAATGTGAGAAATTCCTAGAGATTAAATTAAAAAGCGGCTACATGGCCTGATTACCAAAAGTCTAAAATATATGAAGTTAAACTGATGAAAGCTGTGAGCAGAGCCTAGCCAGGGCCTAAGATACGGAGTGCGAATTATGGACATGACGATGAAGGTCAGTTAAAATGTGGAGATACTACCATCATACAAGATGGGCAGTGGCTAAAGGAACAATAAATCAAGCCCACATCATCAACTACATGCAAAAAAGATTTTCTTATATAACTTTTAGTCAGAAGCCATGTGGAACTTAAAGTGGCTTGAGGTTCCTAGCGGTCTGAAAATAATAATACTGAAACAACAATAAAAAGTGTGTTAGTTTATGTTTGTTATACCTTGCATACTACATGCAAAGCTGCCTGGCTCTCCTGGTTATTTTTTATGTAATAAGTTATTTACTTTTTATGATAAATTTATGAATTCAGAAGTATTATTATCCCATCTTTTTCAAGGGTGAAAAATCCTTGACAAAGGGAGATTAAGTAGCATGTCCAAGGTCAGTTTACGGCTAGTACATCAAGCAGCTGAGATTAAATTCCAGGCAATTTAGCAGCAGAGTTCACATTCTTAGAGTAGAAGTTTATCCTTATGCCCTGCAATTCAATATTCCAAAGTTTCACTTTGCATATTTAAATTCCCTTGTGTCCATCTGGATGCCAAGTCTGGCTTACATTGGAAAAGTACTTTACCCTTTATAATGCATTCACATTTGATTTCTCAACAACCCAATGGGAAAGATGAGACACTAAGAATGAGATAGCTTAAGTGAATTTTTTAAAGGCAATATAACAAATTTAGTTTAGTTTAGTGTGTTTGTTTGTAGTTGTTTTCTGTGACGGTTTGCCTATTTATGTTTTATCTCGTTCCAGAAATATTTAAGATTCCTTATACAGCTAGTAAGTGTAAGAGGAAAGATTCAGTCATGCTAGAGTCCAGAATTCATGTGAAGTGTTCAGGAAAGGGTAAGTCTTATTTCTTCTCAGAGGCTGAAACTACCTGTCTGCATTCCACTTCCTAAGTAGGGATATGGCTACGACAAGTTGTAAGCTATAAGCAAACACATTGTTTTCATGTAGTCTCTTTCTGCATCTTGGGTTTCATCTGTGCAAACTGAAAGGGCATAAGAAAATTTTGTTTAAAAACACTTTAAATTTCAATATTCTAAGTGTTTGTAAATGCATTTCCTAATCTACAAGTAGAAACTCAGTGATAAATATTGAGTAAGTATTAAAAAAGTAAAACAGTAAATATGCTTTTTAAATATGCTGTATTCATATGCTTTTGGTGTGGTAAATAGCTTAACAGGGGAAAAACTGCATCAATATTACAAAAGAAAAACAACAAAATGTCAACCTTGCCTGGGTTGCCTAATGGACGTCAAATCCACCACAACTTTTTGCTTAACATTCACCTGAAATATATATTTCATTAACAAATCTCTAATATAAACCATGAAACTGGCGTTTTTGCCTGGAGAAGTAACAAAAATAAATAAAATGCCATGTTTAGGAGACAATGAAATATATCCTAAAGATTAAATCAATATCAAAAGTACAGATCAATAAAAGAAAGATGTGTGTACATTTAAATATAGTTGGAAAATTCAGACTCTCTATATATCTGTGTGTGTGTGTGTGTGTGTGTTTTATCAAGGCTACTTAAAGTGATTTTGCTGATGGAGTTGGAATTTGGGAACAGATTACTCCACAATTTATCAATATAATGCCAAAAGGAGTGATCTCAACTAGAAAACAGTCTCACGTAAATAAAGTCCACTATATATTTTAGTTGTTTTGTAATCCAGATTCAGGCACAGGTTCAGATTTCAGCAAGCTGAAACAAAAGGACGCGGGATTAAGTTTTAATTTAATTTTAAAGGTCTGGAAAGAGCACAATGATCTATTGTGGAAAAGACACTAATCACTGAGGACCGTAATGATTGCTGTTTGAAAATTTTAATATGTAAGGGTACCTGATTAAAATTTAAGGGGCATCTTGAGTTTTTCCGAAGATAAATTAACATTTATTGAGAATTTCTTGATGCCAGAATCTGGACTGGTTGCTTTGAACATGATATCCCATTTAAGCCTCATGGCAACTTTAGAAGCTAGGTTTCATTAGCTAGGAAAAGGTTACGATTTTAGTGCAAATAATGTGAAGTTTAGGATCAGATAGTTATGAATTCAAGGTTTCCATTAACAGTTTATTTATTGAGTGACTTTGGTATTATTTTACTTAGTTGGATGGGCCATGTGAATTGGACAGATGCTTTCTCATTTTAAACTTTGAAACAGTATTTTATTGTATCTTATTCAATATACATATTCTGCTATTCTACATATTCTAAAGTCTTCACACATAGCAGGGAAAATACTAACAGTGCTGGGAAAAGTGTAGATGAAATGTTGAGGAAAAAGAAGGAGGATGTTTATATATTAATTAACAATCTGTAAAAAGAGAGTGTTTTTTTGAACTAAAATTTAGGCTATATTGATGCCCTTATGATATGTCTAATGGCAAAGCATCATCTTGGGATTGTATTGTCAATCCTAAAACAAAGGACAGGCTACATTGTGATAAGCTAACAGCCAACCCCAAATTTTAAAGACATAACACAACAAAGCTTTGTTTCCTGCTCACAGTGAATTGGTGGTAAGTGGGAAGATTCTCTAGAGCAACTGTCCTCTAAGTGATGGCTCAGCATTGCACTTCCAAATCAACTTGTAATGCTTCCATTAACAAGAAACCCAGAAATAGAGAGGAGGGACAACACCAGTGATTAAATGCATTCACCTAGCAGTCATATACATCATCTTATTACATTCACATTTCATTGGGCAAAGAAGTTCAGGTGACTATGCCTAACTTCAAGGTGGCAGGGAAATGTAAGCTTCCTGTCGAGGAGAGGTCTGGAAGGAAAATAAAACTAGACATTATTGAACAGTTTTAGGCTAGACATTGCTTTATTTTTTAAGCATTTCTAATTTTTCTAAGAAAAAGATACACGAGGTGAACTAATCTAGGAAAGCTCCCATCCTTTCACTAGGGTATGGAGCAAGTATCTAGATGAAAAATATCAACTTCTGAAGAAAAATGTACAGAGGTTGCTCTCTAACACATTAAGTAAATAATAATAATAGCTGTTTTTTAAAATCTGCCTGTTACTGCCCACATTCTAAAGTCATATGTTTCCTATGCCTCTGAAAGTCTTCGTGAAAGTTATGGTATGAACTAACAGAGAGCTGATACCTGACAGAGAAAAACCTCCCTGAGACTACAACTGCCTGAATGTAGAATTTACTGCAAGGGATAAATGTGACATTTAAATTGCATTGCTCTTTTCCCTATGCATTTCTGTCAGGATACTTTCAGTCACAAAGTGGAATGATTTTAAAATACTTTAAAATACACAATATTTGACTGTAACATTACAATATGAAAGATCGTTCAATAAAATACTAGGCAGTACAAGTTGCTTGATTATTATGATGAATGTCAAAAGTATGTAATGTGGTATTTAATACAGTTCAGTGAGTGATGAGTTAGTAACATCATATTTCCTCAGAGGAACAAAATAGAAGACCAGGAAATTCAAAGAAAGTCTGATAATTTCTAACAATACAACATTCAAGAATAAAACAGAACAATAGATTTGAATCTATATGTATTTTGCTTGTAACAGAAATCTCTCATGGAAAACAAATAAATTAAAAAGTCAAGAAGATATTAACTGAAAAAATAATATAACAAAATTCAGGAATATAACAGAAAAGACCTTATTATATTTATAAAAATATATAAGCTTCTGAAATGTTTGAGCATGGCTAAACCTGTAATTAATAACCAGCCCCTATGTGTCAATTTAACTTTTCAATCTTTTCATCTTGAAAATAGTCATGGCAATGCAACCTCACAAAGGTTTCATGAGGGTTAAAAGACAACTAGTTAATATATCTAGCAAAATCCCTGTTGCATAGTGTAAGCCTGATTATACCTTGGATCTGAATCCTAGATAAGCCTCAAAACACAAATCCTAGGAATTGTGATTTAGACATTGATTATCTTAGTGTGTATTTTTTAAAGCAAATAGATGATTTAATAAACATGTAGCATACAAAAGTAGATTAGGCACTGAAAATTTTTGAAGTAAAGTACCTATATGATACATTCCCAGTAATCAGTGTGTGTGTGTGTGTGTGTGTGTGCATGTGCACGCCCACATGTGCTTACATAATTTCAAAAGCTTCACAAAGCCCATTTATGGTCCTTAAGAACAACTGTATTATTTTGTAAAATAATTTTTCTTATTTTTCCCTAATATAAATGAAAATAAACCAAACAATTGACTTAAATCTTCTTCCTCCATAAAATCAAGAAAAAAAGATGATATAGAATACATCAGTGTTCTAGCTAGCAGAGTGAATATGTGAATATTTCAACAAGCAACATTTTTATTCTAGCACCTCAAAATGCATTAAATATAGTACAGGTACTATCAATTAAAGTGTCTGAAAATTAATTTCAACAAGGAGCAGAATCATGCAACTAATCACAGACAGATCTAAATAAATTAGTTCTTAATCATAGCTTTGAAAGGAGAGAAAAAGAAGGCAACATCAAGAAAGTCAAATTACCTTCCCTGGGGTGAAGACATAATAAAACATACAATAAATCAAGGGTTTAACTTCAATTTTGTTGATAAGATCATCACAAAGTTTTAATAATGATACTATATATGTTTTTCTCCAATCTTGCTTTTCAATATAATTGTTTATTGTTACATAAAGGGACACATTTGCCAAAGCCAGAGTGAAATCTGCATGCAGCCAAATGACAGTGTTTGGGAGATAATGGGGAAAAACACTTTCTAGCTTCTCAAACTTACTTTATCTCCAGACTCTGTTGGAGCGCGGGGTGGGGAGACTCCCTTGCCATAGCTTCACATATGGAGGTTTTCCTCTTCTGCATTTTTTCTGTACAGAGAGATGGAAAAAAGTCATCCCAATATCTTTTCCTATTTAAGAGATCAAGGGTCAAAAACTTAAGGCAAAAGTCTAGGAACTGACTCTGGCATTTCAGGAGTTTCTGTCCCATAGTTTTCATAAAATAAGCTCATTTCTGCTTTTTTAAAGGAGAAATAAAACCAATCTGGTTTTGAATCCTGGCCTTTCTGCCCACTAGCTGTACTACTGGCCAACTTACTTAATCTTTCTGAATTTCAGTTTATTCAATAGGTGATTTAAAAAATAATTGTCTATATCTCATAGGGTTGTGGAGAGGATCAAATGAGATCATCCTCATAGCACCTTAACAATATTAAGAGTTATATAGTATTAATCATTTTGCACTTGCTGGCATTTAAATATTTATTTGCTGAAACATTTATTTTTATGGCTTTAATTACATTAGGCATCTTAACTCTCCACTAAAGCAATTGCTAGTGGTAGGGTAGAGTTTGCTAAGCATTTGAATTTGAACAAGAAATGGATTTCTTTGATTTACCATGCTTTACACCACTACTTTTTTGATCTACTAGGCATACCCTAGGAATAACCTAGAGAATGTTATAATATAAAGGGTACACAACTGGAGAATGTCTGGGTGCATGCATTAAAACTACTACTCTAAGACTCTGCTCATAATTCCAAAGCCTATCTCTCTATCTGTGCATTTTATGCAACATATGAATAGTTTCTGCATCAAACCGTTTCCATACAGCAGCCAGTATCTAAGGTGAAAAATTAATCACAATTCCCTGGCTTAAAACTCTTTAGTATTGGCTTTTACCTTTTTCATCAATTCCAAATATCTTAGGAAAGCTTACAGAGACCTTCATGATTAGGCTATAGCTCATCCCTATATCCTTATTTCACTCTTCTCTATCTCTTGTATTCTATGCTATCTTCTACAATATGGGGCCTCATCCCCTATCCCTTGATCATTTTTCCCCTTTGGACCACTCTTTGCCTGGCTGCCTTTGAGTCATTCTTCAACACATGTGCTGCTGCTGCTTCTCTGAATCGCACACCTCAGGTATGCTGACAGAATATCCTATATATGACGTTGCAGAGGTAGCTCTGGATCTACTGTCTAATATTGAAATTATTCAACTATTTAATTTTTCCCACTAGACCATAAGAGCAGGATTTTTTTTTGCTAGTCACTGTATCCTCAACATCTAATACGGTGCCTGGCACATAGAAAATATTTTTTAAAACTAATATGAATGAATCATATAGCATTAACATTTTTTATTATTGCACTTGTCTCCACATTTTGAGCCTTTAAAGAACATGACTAGTTTCAATAATTAAATGCAAAAGGTTTATATTGAATTTGGAATACTGTAGTTAGTTTCTTGAGGGCAGGAACCTATCTGACTTTGTGATTGCTGTTGTATCATTTAATACCCAACGGAGAACCTGGCACATAGTACGCGCAAGATCAACGTATGTTGAACAACAAATGAGTTAAGAGGCCTTTGACACTTAGAATCCAAAGAATCAAGAAAATACCAAATTACCCTGTACTACTAAATGTTAAGTAGTTCACAGACACTTAAAGCAATAATTAATGAACAAAGAAATGACAATGACCTTTCTAATAACCTCACGATTTCCTCAAGTTTGATCTGAATGGCTATCTAATAATTATTTTGAAGTCTTAAAGATGTAGGAATACATAGATCCCTTTCTTAGTACGCTTCGTTTGTTTCCATTGTTTAAAGAAGAAGTAAAACATATGATATCTTCACAAAATACAGAGTAACAAGGAGGAATGTATTTTGTGAGGGGTGTGTGTGTGTGTGTGTGTGTGTGTGTGTGTGTGTGTGTGTGTGTGTGTAGTGTTGTTCCATTCTGATATCCAGGTTAATTTGAAAATACCACATTTGGTTTCTCAGCATTTGCTAAGAAATTATACTCAAGGTGAATTTTGAAATGATTCATGTTGTGTAATCTGAAGAAACGACTGGTAATGATATTCCCCTATATTTGTAAGATACATTAATCTCCGTCATGGCCAGTTAATTGTGTACATTTCTAGTTCCTGAACGACAAATATTTTAGAAAGATAAATAGCTTCTCTTTCTGGAAATTACTATATATGGACTTTCAAAGAAAATCTTGCTAGTTCTTATGGAATGCATGTCATTATAGAAAACTGTTACTTTAGAATGAAATGAGATCCATGTCTAAGCCAGAGAATGATGAAGAAAATGAGGTGAAGGAGAGGGTCTCAGGTCTCTTCCAGGAACCACTGAAGGATGCATCAATAAGTAAAATAAATCTAAAAACTATTAAGTAACTAATAATACACCAGTATTCAAACATATGGGGGAGTGGGATCTCGGCTTGGGCCATCTGGATCTAGTAGTAAAATCATGCCACTGGGATTCTTGACTGTATTACTCTCTGTGTGCTCACTTTATTATCAGGAAGCATCATGCTATGTTAAGCTACTCTAAGCCTAACAACTTAAAACTTTGTTTTTTGTTTGGTTTTATTAATTTTAAAAAATAATTAGTTTTGTTTTGTTTTGTTTTGTTTTTGAGACAGGATTTCACTCTGTCACTCAGCCTGGAGTGCAGTGGCATGATCATAGCTCACTGCAGCCTCGAACTCCTGGGCTCAAGCAATTCTCTTGCCTCAGCCTTCTGAATAGCTGGGACTACAGGCATGCACCACCACACCTAGCTCAACTTTTGATTTCAATGATGTATAATCATGCCCTCTCTAGCATCCATATAACCAAATCACAGTAAAGATAAGACATGTCTTGCTGTCATTCCAACAGGCAAGAGGGACAGTGTAATATGACAGGTCAGTCTAGGTTGTCATGATGATGAGACAGAAGAGGAAACATGCCTGATAACCTCCATAGAGATACATGAACTGAGGTGTAAATAATTCTTTAAAGAAAACAATGATTTTATAAAAAATAAAAATGAAATTTTTTTGGAGACTTGGCATTTTATTAGGGGCTCACATACAGGGGAGAGTCCAGTGGTGACAGGCTGGACAGGAGAACCACCTGATGTACAGAATTGGTCCAGTGGTGATGGGCTAGACACGATATCTACTTTCCTACAGTCCATTGGTGGTCAGCTGGAAAACATATCCACCTTACATATGGTCCAGTGGCAGTGGACTGGACAGACAAACTGCAACTGCTTGCAAACATGATGCAGTTTATATAACATTCTCACTTCAAACCTTCCCCTTAATGACCTTCACCTGGCAAACTTCATGTAATCCAAAACTTCGGGCCACAACTCTCTGTACAGCCATGTTCTATGCAATGGGAAGCTCATAAGACCAACAAAAATAACAGATTTTGTGCAGTGAAGAAAGGATATGTGAATAGAACACCAAACTCATGCTACTTCAAACAAAGCAAGTTTACTTTCATCTGTTTTATGTATTAGTCATCTGCTTGAGACTTTTATTGGAGATATTGATTTATTTTAAAAAAACTTGACAACCTCTAACATTGATTAGCTTAAGGTTCACTTCAAGTTTAAAGATTTCATTTGTTTCTAAAAGCAGGGCCAATAGTATCCAAGAAAAAAAATGCTAGTGGAAAGACTAACAGATATCCATTCCAAAATAAAAAAGATACCCATGGTAGGAGCTAATTTTTACTAATTAGTGGCTAAAAGTGATGTTATAGTCAAAAAGAGTCAAGGTTAAATATGTAGTGCCAAGACCCACTAATCTTTTCAAGTTATGATTACTTGTCCAAGAGCAAAAAATATCCAGGCAGCTGTGTTCCTCTGGTTAATGTTGCTTCTGGGAACTCCTGAATCAGGTGGTAAATAGTTTCCCCAGATATCAAAAATTTAGGTTTTATAAATTCAAGAAACCACATATTCTTGTGAGGTTTTGCCTGATCCTGAGTTTTAATGGATGGTAAGGAGTAAGGAGGTCATCAAGAGTATGAACTCCTTCGCTTTTCTCTTTGGGAGCATCATTCCTGTAAGTTTCATCATGCAGGAATGTCTGCTTATGCCTAAAGCATGACTATGTCACCTCTATGTGCCATAGATAATGGTATTATTGATTATACAGATCCCTTTCAAGCACTTAGTAGATACCAAACACTTTATTAAGAATTTATCAACCAAAATATGCCAAATATTATTTTCATCTTTTCAAATTAGAAATCTTAGAGCAGATAAGTTAACCACCCTGGCTAAATTCCAATGGCTAAGAAAATTCAAACCTCAAATTATTTCATTACAAAGTTATTTGTTTTCCCCCTTTACAACTCAGGCTTTTTTCAATTCTTTGTTTCTTATGTCCACAATAATTCCCACATATAACAAAATAGAAAGAATAAGTTTTTTTTTTTTTATTTTTAGGGTTGCTCTCCTCCTCCACCTTCTATTTCTTCTCCTCCTTCTCCTCTTCCTCATCCTCCCCCTCCCCCTCAATCCTTGTCTTCTTCTTCTCTGTCTCCTTCTCCTTAACTGATTTTTCACCCTGTTATATAGCTTTCTTAGACAAAGGGCTACAGTAATTTCAAATATATCTCTCTTACTCTTCAGAGTTATTGCTTTCTAAAAAATAGTCTAGACAAGTGTCCCTGAATTCTTTGACCAAGAACTTACCTGTTCTCCAGAAGGAATTATATGGTGATCCATGTGAGTCAGATGACCTTCTCCTAATTCCCATACCATTAATAATGTGGGGAGAACTCTGTAAAGAGAAGCAACAAGGGCAATTATTTTGAAGACAACTCTTTTGGGGGTTCACAGTGTGAAGTTGACAAATGAGACAGAAAATTCTCCCTTCTGATAATGACAACACCGTCTACTATTATGCTAAACACTTTCCTCAAGAAAGCACTCATTTGACTTTGTCATTGTAAGAGCACTTGAAATTAAAACAAATTTGTGGTTTCAAAGGAGGTTAATAGAACCAAAATACTAAATTGCTTCCTGTATCTTAAACATAAATTTAGAGAAACTACATTTCAAAAGCAATTTTTCAGAATATAGAAAGCATATCTCTAAATTCAAGCCTCAGTAGGCATCAGGGCTTAAATATCTGAATCTCCTTTGTCTTAAACTAGAGTAATTTGGCAGTGACATCAGAATTGAAGCACTGTCCATGTTAGGACTCATGTACTAAGAGTTTTTGACAACAAGAATATTTGGTATTAAATTTTAAATTGATGCTGAGTGACAGACTATTTCCCATGTCTCTACCACTTGCAGACAACTACCACAAGCTCAATTTGCTTCACAGGAGCATGGCATGTGCCATCCCACAAAAAGTCATGTGCGTTCAAATGAGCACTGGCCAATATTGCTTTTGAGAAATAAGAAAGCTTGTCTGCGTTCACGGGGCCAATTATTCAGCCAACTATACATTGGGGAAATTAATTCTTGAAGCAAAAGGTTTCATTACATTCATAACTACACATATTGTTCTTGAATATAAACTTCCTGGCTCGCTTAACTCAGTGACCTTTTCTTTCTATATATCTAATAGATTTATAATACATTCTGGGAAGAAGCTTTTTTTTCCCTTAAATTGCTCTTTCAAGATCTTGAATATCAGATGAAAGTTCAGTCCTTCTAGAGATATCAGAGATGTCAAAGGACTAGATATTTTGTAAGCCCGGCTTCCAACTTGCTTCTTTGAGACAGAACATCATAGAATCAGTGTTGGAAGGGATCATAGGAATGATCCAGCCTAAATTGATAAAGTTTCTTTTTTTTTTTTTCCTACTGGATCTTGAGTGCCACAAGAACTAAGACAATGTCCAATTAGCCTTTATTTTCCAATGCCTAGTGAAGGATTTTATACATAACAAGTCTTAATTCTGTAATGACTAAATGGGGAAAAATAGTCACAAGCTTATCTATCTCAGTGTTTTCCAATAAGTGGTACATTTACCAGGAATCGTACAAGCTTATTTTAGGTAATATTTGGATAACTGTTGGTATATTATTTCCTATATTTTAATATAGGTGTAATAATAAATAAGAGGTACTAATCATGAAATTATAAGCTAAAAATAAATACAGTAAATAAATGGTACACATATCATCAATGGCACAACTTTTGAAGGGTGGAACTTAAGAATTCTAGAAATCCGTCATACTCAGTGCTTGGTTCTCTTCATTTCACCCCTCCTTTATAGAACCACAAACTGCCTAGGTTATTATTATTATTATTGATATTATTTGAGATGGAGTCTAGCTCTGTCACCTAGGCTGGAGTGCAGTGGTGCGATCTCAGCTCACTGCAACCTCCACCTCCCAGGTTCAAGCGATTCTCCTGCCTCAGCCTCCTGAGTAGCTGGGATTACAGGTGCCTGCTACCACGCCTGGATAATTTTTTGTATTTTTAGTAGAGACAGGGTTTCACCACGTTGGCCGGGCTGGTCTCGGGCTCCTGACTTCGTGATCCACCCGCCTTGGCCTCCCAAAGTTCTGGGATTACAGGCATGAGCCACTGTGCCCATCCTTCTTTACTATTATTTTATAGAAAAATACAATGTGAGTTTATGATGCCATTGAAATGTATCGTTCTAGTTTTTTGCTTCTCAACTAGTTGACCTATATGCTTCTGATTACTATGCAGTTGAATGTGTTCATGTTATAATTTTTTATTTTTATACTGCCCCTCTTCATCTTCTAATGCTTGTATTTCTTCTCTGCAGTCTATGATCTAAACAATAGCTTCAAAGGATAATTTTTTGAAAGATGCAAGTGGATTGTTGGTAAAAGGCTTATGCCGGTGTATTGGGAGGCATGGAGGTGGCAGAAAGGTAGTAGATTTGATACAGAATGAAAACTAGGATTCCGCAAAGTTTTAATTTTTATGATTTATTCCCACATTAGAGTAGAAAACAGATATTAATTAATTAATTTCTAAGAATTATTGAAACCGACCCTTAAATCTTCAGCCTCAATTTTTATACAAAGATCCTGCCTGAGGTACTTTGAAATAAATAATACAAGGATTTATTAGAAATGCTGTTTTCCTCTCACTAAAATTGGGCTTCCAAGCTTTGAAACCCTCTCCCATCATTATTTTTGACATTCACTTTCATTTTCATTTGGAGGATATTATTAAGATCGTGCTCATTCCACTGTCAGCTTTTACGGACAGAAAAGTGGTGTGAAAGCATTATATTCTTCGCTGAGCAGGAATGTGCACTTGGATTCTATCTGAAATCAGTACCAGAAGAAGAACTTGTCATTGTGTTTTTCCAGAGCAGATGATTAAATTGGGCATATTTTTCATTTCTTCTATTATTTTTTAAAATAAATGTGAACAATACATATACTTATGGGTTTATGCAGTTTGCCACTATAAAATGGCTAAACATCAGTCCTTTGTTCTTTCTACTCTTCAGGGGAGGCAGACTGTTTAAAGTGAGGTAGAGGTTATTTTAGGGATTCTGAATGCTGAGCACCTTTTATTACCTTTAGATATTTCAAACAATTTCCCAAATCATATTCCATATTCCAGCTTTGTGATACTTCTTACACAAAGTAATGTTTTAAACAATTTCTTATGTGCTTCTAGAGTACAACAAATAGTAAAACAAAGTGTGAATACAACACGTATTTTTCCTTCAGTCTATGATTTAATATTTCCCAATTTTACATCCATGCATCACTAACAAATGACCAAGAAAAGATTCCTAAGGTTCATTAAACTATACATAAAAGAGTCTCTGAATAATTATTTAAAAGAACTTCTTCCCATAAATTATTTGCCTCCACTTTTTAACAGCATAGTTAGGGACTTTCTGAGCTACTACTAATTTAAATGACTGTCCAGTCATTTACTGTTAAGTTTCTGTCTTGGTTTATTCACAGTCTACTTTCGTATACATAAAAAATTGCTTTACATAGTGTTCACAAAGCAATTCAGTGATTAACAAGGTTAATTTCTGGTTGAATTTCTGTAATATAATGTTTATTATTATGAGATATGTTACATTAAAACTAGAGACTTAGTAAAATTTTTCTGGTGGCGGAGGATGGAGTCTCGCTCTGTCTCCTAGGCTGGAGTGCAATGGCATTATCTCGGCTCACTGCAACCTCCGCCTCCCAGGTTCAAGTTATTCTTCTGCCTCAGCCTCCCTAGTGGCTGGGATTACAGGCGCCCGCCACCATGCCCAGCTAATTTTTGTATTTTTAGTAGAGGCACGGCTTTGACATGTTGGCCAGGCTTGTCTCAAACTCCTGACCTCAGGTGATCCACCCTCCTCGGCCTCCCAAAGTGCTGGGATTACAGGCATGAGCCACTACTCCCGGCTGAGACTTAGTAATTTTGACATTACCAGCACTACCTTGACTAAAAGAAGCATGATGAAATTTGGAGGCATGATAGACCAGTTCTATATCTTGATTGCTGGTAATTAAATGACTGTCCATATTTGTGAAAATTTATACAACTGCATAACAAAAAAGATGAATTTTCCTGTATGTAAATTATAACTCAATAAACAACTAAATTATGAAAAGGATCATATGTCAATATTAGCTTTAAAATATCACAGACATCTATATGTTATGTTTCAACTTTTTATCTTTGCATTTTCTCTTTAGCCAACCCTATTAAGCTTTCTTCTTCGTCCCCATCAATCCGCTGAAGACCTTAACAAGATTGCTTTCAGTGACTATCATTTTGCAAACTCATTGATCACTTATCAGTTCACATCTAACTTGGCATCTTGTCATCATTTAGCTGGTGTTGCAAGCAAAGACTCATTTATTCACTTTATTTCCAGGACACTGCCATTTTTTTCGATCATCCTTCTGTCATATTCACTGCTTCTTTCCTGGAAACTCCTTTTCTTCTCAATCACATGACTTGAAAAACATAAATACATGCTGCCAACTCTTTCCTCCCACCTCTCTTTCTCTCTCTCTTGTGTGTGTGTGTGTGTATGTTTGTGTGTATCTTTAGCTTTCACTTTTCCCTGAGTTCAAAAATGACATGTCCCAGCTCATGCCTTGGACATCTCCTTTTGTATATAAAATAGACATTCACTTAGCATACACAAGAAGAACCCTTGATTTTCTTTCCAATCTTTTCATTCTATGTATTTCTTGAACTCAAATAATTCCACCATTCACTGGCTTCTTCTGACCAAAATCCAGAAATTAATTATTGATTCTCTTTTTCATTCTTTATGTATAACCCATAAGCATGTTCTATATGCATTATTTAAAAAATATATCTTCACTCTTACATTTCAACATTTTTCAATTACTAGCCTGTCTCATCTGAACTTTTTCAATAGCTTTCTGATTTCTCTTCTTCCATAATTGTGTTTATAGGGTACAAGGTGACACTATAATCCATGAATACAATGTGAATTAATGAAATCAAGCTAATTAACATATCCATCACCTCAATGCTTATCTTTTTTGTGGTAATAACATTTGAAATTTACTCTCAGTGATTTTGAAATGTACAAAACATTATTATTTACTGTATTAACCACACTGTTTAATATATTACAAAAAAATTTTCTAAACGTATTCCACCTAATTTAGACTTTTTATTCTTTGACTATCACCTTTCCATTTCCTCCCCCAACTCCCAGCCTCTGGTAACCACCATTCTACTCTCTGTTTCTTTGAGTTCAATTGTTTTAGATTCCACATATAAGTGAGAACATATAACATTTGTTTTTCTGAGCCTGGCTTATTTTACTTACCTTAATGTTCTCCAGTTTAACCTGTATTATCACAAATAAGTTTTTTTCTTCCTTTTTAAAGGCTAAATAGTATTCCATTGTGTACACATACCACATTTCATTTACTCACCCTTCCATTGATGGACAGTCAGTTTGTTAACTCTATAATTTGGCTGTTGTGAAGAGTGCTGCAATGAACACAGGAGTGCAGACATCTTTTGACATATTATTCAAATTTTTGAGGGTAAATATCCAGAAGTGGGATTGCTAGATCATGTGGTAATTCTATTTTCAACTTTTCAAGGAACTTTTAAACAGTTTTCCATATGGTTTCACTAATTTACATCCCTACCAAAAGTGTACAAGGGCTCCCTTTTCTGTATGTCCTGACTAACATCTCTTGTTGTTTGTCTTTTTGATAATAGTTATTCTGACAAGTGTGAGGTGATATACAATTGTGGTTTTAATTTTCATTTTCCTAATGATTAGTGATGTTAAACATTTTAAAAAATATATCTGCTGGCCATTTATATTTCTTCTTTTGAGAAATGTCTATTCAGGTCCTTTGCCCATTTTTAATGTATGGCTTCAAGTATTTTCCCTGAAGCTTAAAATTGTCACTTCATGCTGCTTTTACACAGGCTTTTAATTTTGATGAAATCCCATTTGCAATCCCATTTGACCCTGGGACTTTGGGGTCAAATACAAAATATTATTCAGACCAATACAGTATTTTTTTCCGTATAGTTTTTCAGTAGTTTTATAGTTTCAGGTTTTATGTTTAAGTCTTTAATTAATTTTGAGTTGATTTTTGCATATAGTGTGAGCTAAAGGTACAATTTCCTTCTTCTGCATATGGCATCCATTTTTCCTAACATTATTTATTAAAGAGACTATTAATTTCCCATTGTGTATTTTTGGCACCTTTGTGAAAAAACAATTGACCATACATGCTTGGGTTCATTTCTGGGCACTCTTTTCTGTTCCACTGGCCAATGAGTCTATTTTTATGCCAGTACTATGCTGTTTTAATTATTGATCTTTTGCAATATAGTTCAAAATCAGGTAATGTGATGCTTCTAGCTTTGTTTTATTTTGTTTGTTTGTTTATAATTCCCTTAGCCATTTCAAGATTTTTGTGGTTCCACATTAATTTTAAGATGTATTTCTCTATGAAAAAAATATTGAAGTTTTGATAGCTTTTCCACTGAATTTGTAGATCACTTTGGTTAGTATGGTCATTTTAACAATATTTATTCTTCCAATTCATGAACACAGGATACCTTTCCATTTATTTGAGTCTTTTTTTTATTTCTTTCATTAATGTCTTATAGTTTTCAGTGTACAGCTCTTTCACTACCTTGGTTAAATTTATTCCTGGTATTTTATTTTTTATAGTTATTGTAAATAGGGTTGTTTTCCTTGTTTCTTTTTTGAAAAGTTTGTTATTAATGTATAGAAACACTACTCCATTTTCCACATTTTTGATTACACTCTCTTCTTCTCAGAATAATCAGAAAGATTTTTTACAAGTGGCACTTACATCTTGCAATTCCTGTGCTGAAACCATCCTATAATCTTCTTTTTCACACTTAACAATAAAATCCACATTCCCTATTATGACTTACAAAGCCCTACACCAGAAGTCAGCAAATTATGACCCATAAGCCAAATCCAGCCCATTGCCTATGTTTATTTTTGTAATTATAGTAAAATACATATAACATAAACTTTACCATGTTATTTATTTTTTAGTGTATGGTACAGTAGTGTTAAGTACATTTATATTGTCATGAATCCAATCTCCGGAATGCTTTCATCTTGTAAAAGTGAAACTCTAAAGCCATTAAACACCTCTCAGTTCCTTCTCCCACCAGATCCTGGAAAACATCATTCTTTTGTCTGTATTTATAAATTTGACTATTCTAGTTACCTCATATAAATGGAATTATACAGCGGCTGTATTTTTCTGACTTATTTATTTTAATAGCATGATGTCCTAGAGGTGCATCATGTTGTAACATGTGTCAGAATTTTCTTCTTTTTTAAGGTTGAGTAATACCCCTTTGTATATATATGCCACATTTTGTTTATTTATCCAGTGGTGGACATTTAGATTGCTTCCAACCCTTGGTTATTGTAAATAATCCTGGTATTAACATGATTGCACAAATATCTCTTTGAGACCCTGATTTCAGTTCTTTTGAGTATATGCCCAGAAGTGGAATTGCTAGATCATATGGTAATTTTATTTTTAGTTTTTTGAGTAATTGCCCTAATGTTTACCATAGCAGTTTCATCATTTTACATTTCCATCAAGACTACACAAAGATTCTAATTTCTCCACATACTAGCCAATACTTCTTTTCTTTCCTTTTTTATAATCCAGAACCTCATGGGTATGAGTCTGTATTTCATTGTGGTTTTGATTTACATTTCCCTAATGATTAGTGACGTTGAGCATCAGTTCATATGCTTGTTGGCCATTGTGTATCTTCCTAAGGGAAATGTCTATTCATGTCCTTTCCCATTTTTTAATCAGATTGATTTTTGTTACTGTTGACTTGTAGGAGTTCTTAAATATTATTAATAATAACCACTTATCAGATATATAATGTGCAGGTATTCTCCCATCAATAGGTTGCCTTTATAGTCTGTTGATCATGTTCTTTGATGCACAGAACTTTTAAATTTTGATTTAGCCCAATCTATCTATTTTGTCTGTTATTTCATGTGCCCATTGACTTTTCTTGTAAATGAAGTTTTATTGGAACATAGCTACACTCATGTGTTTCAGTTTTGTCTATGACTGTTTTCATGCTATTACAGGAGAGATGAGTAATTGCCGTGAAAACCATATGGCCTACAAAGCCTAAAATATTTACTGTCTGGACATTTACAGAAAAAGTTTGTGAATCCCTCCCCTGTGCAATCTAACTGTTGTCTGTCTTCCACCTTTTCTATATACCACTATTCCCACTTAATCTATTCTAGTCATATAAGGGCCCTTCTGTTTTCTTCTGAAACATCAAGATCATCCAACTTTAAGGGTTTGAACTTTCAGATTCATTCATTTAGACTGCGTGTTTTTTACTAGAACTTTAACTAGTTTATGCCTTTATTTCACTGTGGTCTCTGCTTAAATGTCCTGCCCTCAGAGAAAAGAGTTGACATCAGCTAAATATCTTAAAATGCTAATCTCTTGATTGTGTTTTATCTTAGAATGAAAAGGCAATGTCAAAGTTGGTAAAACATGTTTATATATCCCACTTACACATATGAGTTACTATATAGTAAGGGCTGCAAATCATTGTCCTTCCATTTTATACTAATCTGCTGAACTAGTAAAACTACTATGTCTCCCTTCCCCATATCAAACATAAATTATCTATGAAAGAGAGACACCAAGGAAGAGAATTAGAGCCTGAGAAAAATCCTTAGAGCAACTAATGGGGCTACTTTGAACCATTATGTGTGGCAGGGGTAGTGGCTTTGGCCTGGGGTAGGAGACAATAAGGCATGGCTGTGGGAGGATGGTGAAATAAAAATACTGAAGGACAAATAATACCTACTCATATTCGTATAATGACTCAGAGAGCTCTTGTTAAAGTACCATGAGGAGTAATAGATGAGCAATGTAGCCAGTTGTTGTTTTAAAAAAATATTTGATATTCCAGGGGAAAATAAAGTCACAGACTAGAATAACAGAGCATTTGAAAAACATAATTATTTCAAAGGAAAAGAAAAACATATTGGATTGTTGATTCCATCACAGACAGATACATTAGAATACAGAGATAAATACTTCTGAATTTATCTAAAAATATGCTAAAAGAAATAAGGGAATTTATTATTAATATATATTTTTAAAACCTGGGAAAAGCTAAGCGAAAGTGTTAGGTATTAAACATAATATTGGGGTTAAAATACATACAGATGCAATAAGGAATTAGAAGAAAGCATTGTATAGAATGCAAAAGGAAAATGCATAAATTAATATATTTTAATATATTTTTATATTGTATTATACATTTAAAGAGATAGGATATATGGAGAATGGAGGTAGAAGTGATAACACTCAGAGAACAGGGAGTTCAGAGAGAGAGACAGTTAGAGAGGGAGATGAAAGAAGTAAATTTTGGAAGCCATAATGGAGATATAACATTCAAAATTTTTTCAAAAATGTAAAATACTTCTTTTAACTGGAACTCCTAGATGTTGATAAAGGAGAGTAGATTCAGAGAGGGGTTCACCTACACACCATATAGTAGAGATTGAATAACAATAAGAATAAGAGAACTGGGAACATTTGAATAGCTTACAAAGAGAAAAAAACCAAAAAGTAGATTACCTACAAAGCAGCAAGAGTTAGATTGAAACCAGAATATTCAACATTAGCTAGGATGCAAGAAGACAAACAAATATTCTTTCATTAAATTAAAGTAACTTAGAATCAAGAATTCTAATTTAATTTCATTAAATTAAAGTAACTAACTTAGAATCAAGAATTTTAGGGCCCTGTCACACTGCAACTGCTGCTGCCATACAAGTGTGTGCATGGAAGTTGTAGCCCCCTGCCTCTGCCCCACCCCTGCTGGGACCTTACCCTCATGAATACATAGGGGCCCCACTGCATCGGCAGGAACTTAAGCATGAATTTAAATTTAGAAATTAATTTAGAACCAAAAAGAGCCTGCATTTCCAAAGCAATACTAAGCAGAAAGATCAAAGCTGGAGGCATCACATTACTTGATGTCAAACTATACTATAAGGCTACAGTAATTAAAACGGCATGGTACTGGTACAAAAACAGACAATAGATGAGTGGAAAAGAATATAAGACACAGAAATAAATCCACACACCTACAACCATCTGATCTATGACAATATCAATATCAACAAAAATAAACAATGGGGAAAGGGCTCCCTATTCAATAAATGATGCTGGGATAACTGGTTATCTATATGCAGAAGAATGAAACAGGACCCCTACCTCTTACTCTATATGAAAACTAACTCAAGATGGATTAAAGATTTAAATTTAAGACCTCAAATTATAAAAATCCTAGAAGAAAATCTAAGAAATACCCATCTTGAAGTCAGCTTTGGCAAAGAATTTATGGCTAAGTCACCAAAAGCAATTGTAACAAAAACAAAAATTGAGAAAAAATGGAACTTATTTAAAATGAAGAACTTCTGCAGAGCAAAAGAAATTTCCAACAGAAGAAAAAACAGCCTACAGAATGGAGAAAATATTTGCAAGCTATGCGTCTGACAAAGGTCAAATATCCAGAACCTATAAGAAGCGTAAATCAGCAAACAAAAATCAAACATTCCAACTAAAAAACAGGCAAGATACACGAACAGGCACTTCTCAAAAAGAGACATTCAAGTAGCCAACAAATATATGAAAAAAATCTCAATATCACTTAGTCATCAGAGAAATGCAAATTAAAACCACAATGAGATACCATCTCATACCAGTCAGAATGGCAATTATTAAAATGTCAAAAAATAATGGATGTTGGCAAGGTTGCAGAGAAAAATGAACATTTATATACAATTGCTTGTAATGTAAATTAGTCTAGCCACTGTGAAAAGCAGTTTGGAGATTTCTCAAAGAATGTAAAATAGAACTACTGTTCGACTCAGCAATCCCATTACTGGGTATGTACCCAAAAGAAAATAATTTATTCTATCATAAAGACACATGTACTCATATGTTCAATGCAGTGCTAGTCACAATAGCAACAACATGGAATCAAGCTAAGTATCTATCAACGGTACACTGGATAAAGAAAATGGGGTACATATACACCATGGGATACTATACAGCCATAAAAAACAACAGAATCATGCCCATGAAACATGGATGGAGCTGACGGCCATTACCCTGTGCAACCTAATGCAAGCACAGAAAATGAAATGTTCTCACTTATAAGTGGGAACTAAACATTGAATACACATGATTGCAAAGATGAGAACAATAGACACAGAGTGGCTCACTAGATGGGGGAGGGAGGGGGAGGGATGCATAGAATCACTTGTTGGGGACCATGCTTATAGACTGTGTGATGGGATAGTTGGGACTCCAAGCCTCAGTGTCATGTAATTTATCTGTGTAACAAATCTGTATGTGTATCCTTTCATCTATAATAAAAGTTGAATTTTTTAAAAAAAGAAATCAAAATGTCAGAAAGGACAGAAACATATACATTTCAGAGATCACAAGCATAAACTAAGGCAATTATAGTTATGCACCCAAAAAGTAGGTGATATATTACCTTCCCTGTGCAGGTAGGTATAGACTATAAAATTAATCATCTACTAAGGAATACAGAAAAACTCAATAAGATTTAAGGAACTTGTATTAAATCAGGCATGTTAGCTAAACCTGATTCAGTTCTATTACATGTGTACAACAAAAAGGTAAAATTCCCAGCTATTTAGAAATTGAAGAAAAAATGTTAAATAATTTACATAAGATCTAAATAATAAATAAAATCCTAAGCCTGAAAATGAGTGAGTTAGAAAGTTGGTAGTATAGAAAGAGGCCCTTATATCTTACAGTAGGAGGGTATAAAACCTGAGAACCAAATTTAGAACAGCATTGCCATTGTCATCAAACTTCAAAGGTGATTGAATTACATCAGCTAAGCCATGGCCAAGGGCTCTGTTGGGAAAAACTTGGACCCTGACAAATACGATGGGAGCATATAGGTGAGTGCTCCAAAGATGTTTGTTCTCCAGATTGCTCTTAACTTTTAGGGCCAGCAGAATCAATGTACCCCTCGCTAGAAAGAGCTAACACTCCCCTGTATGAGGACAGACTGCATAGGTCTGTCTGCCACAAGGCAGCTTGGATACTCACCCAGATGTGTTCCAGCTCCACTTATGCCTATTAAGCCAATAACCCAGCCACGGACACGCTAGGCCTGACAATAGAGACAATACTTTGAAGTACTAGAATACTTCAAAGGACCCACAAGAATTAGCCAGCACATACCAGACTGAATGTTGATGGCATTTGATCAAAGGATCTGGAACATAGGGCTTGATAAGAAAGAATCATCAGTTTGGGGCTACTCTCTTGAGATAAGGAATTTAAAACTCTGGCAAGTTCCTAGGGGATGGAGAAAATTTGCAGGTAGCATAGCTTCTAGAAGCTAGGGGAAAGTGATGACCTACTCTGAACCAAGTTGAGAGATTTAAATTACAAGGACAGATGCTTAAAGAAGGAAGTAAAAGGTTCAGGTAAGTAAGGATGTTACAGTGGTTACATTACGTAAGGCCAGAAGTATTATGTTTCTAGAGAAAGCTAAGAGGACACTATTCACCGAAGTCATAATATTCTCATGACAGACAATCAGGGTCAAGACAATCAGACAATCTGTGTCAGTGTGTCATAGCGGTTATCTTCTAAGCAGGCCAGCACTGAGTAAAAGACGCTATCCTAAAATTTTACTCATTAATCATAGCAATGAGGATGTGGGGGCCACAAATCAATAGAAGCCTTCTGGAACCCAGGGGTTCAAAATGACTTAAAAACTGACAGTGTGGGAGTAGCAGGTGAGAGGTCTTGATCCACACAGAGTTCTGAAGATGTTCCATAAAATACAGCACTGACAGAAGACAAGTGGACAGACAGCCAATCAGGGTGGTGCTTAATACAAAATCAAAGGAAAGCAAGAATGGATGCAGAGAGAACTGAGGGTAGTTGGCTTAGTTAAAAACTAAACAAACCAAACCTTGCCTAGTTTCTAGATACGAGCCAGTTTTCAGATTTGTAACCTGTGCACGTTAGGGGTCTATCACATCAGTAAAGTTTTTAAAGGTCTAGTGATCGGGGGTATGCAGGAATATACCCTTCAAAGTAAGAGGCAAACTGCCGCATCTTGTATCCTCTACCACAAAGAAAGAACCACAACACCCGGTAAGACTGTTCAGATTCTGCAGTGAACATATTTGACACTTTGCACTCCTGCTTTAGCCTCACAGCTTCAAATTTCCAGCATTGAGTGAGACCAAAAGCAAGGAATGACTCTCCAGGAGGGGCAGACTAGTGTCAAGCATGCCTAGTGCTTGGACCATATGATGCAACAGACCCTGTAGTGGTGGAAATATCAGTGGTGAGAAAAGATGTTATGTGCTGGCATGTAGCTTCCCAGTGAGAAAATCACAGTTCAGGAGTGAGTCCATGTGATTATCAGTGGAGTATTAGACAACCTTTATAAACAGCTCCTAGTGCATTAACGGGTCTTGGTAAAGGTAAAGACAAAATGCTTGACCATTAGTGTCTTGGGAAAGTAAAAGAACTTTTTTTTTTTTTTTTGAGAGTTTCACTCTGTTGCCGAGGCTGGAGTGCAGTCGAGCAATCTCTGCTCACTGCAACCTCTGCCTCCCCAGTTCAAATGCTTGCCTCGGCCTCCCAAGTAGCTGGGATTACAGGCACCCACCACCATGCCCAGCTAATTTTTGTATTTTTAGTAGAGACTTGGTTTTGCCATGTTGGCCAGGCTGGTCTCGAACTCCTAACCTCAGATGATCCACCCGCCTCGGCCTCCCAAAGTGTTAGGATTACAGGCTTGAGCCACCATGCCCGGCCTGATGAGTTGTGTTCTGTCAGACCTAGCAAGCAACACATTTGGGCAGGCCCAGCAGCAATTCACCAGGTGATGAAAATGGTATATCCAGGATCAAGCTTGAGCAAGACCACAGGGCAAGAACAAATTGAGTAAGCCTAAAACCCCACGTCACAAGTCACTATTATACCAGGATCTCTCCCTCAAGACAAACCTATGCCATATGAAAGGGTCCTGTGCAACCACCAAAATAAGGAAATAAATTCAAAACATGCTTTATGGATGGGCCAGCTCAGTATGTGGTATGCAAGCCAAAAATGGATGTCAGATTGAGTAAAGCTATATACTCAGGCATGACCTTGAGAGATGGTGCCAAGGGAAAATCTTTTCAATGGGCAGAAGTTGAAGAGGGCTGGGCACAGTGACTCATTCTTGTAATCCCCACAGTTTGGGAGATTGAGGCAGGTGGATCACTTGAGGCCAGAAGTTCAAGACCAGCCTGGCCAACATGGGGAAACCCAGTCTCCACTAAAAATACAAAAGATTAGCTGGCTATGGTTGTGAATACTTGGAATCCCAGCTACTCAGGTGGCTGGGGCACGAGAATCACTTGACCCTGGGAGGTGGAGGTTGCACTCTAGCCTGAGAGACAGAGTAAGACTGTCTCAAAATAATAATAATAATAATAATAATAATAATAATAATAATAATGATAATAAATTAAAACACACAAATAAATACATAAAATAAATTAAAAATGCCTCCACTCTGGCAAAACAAATGAACAAACAAAAATCCAAACAGAAGTTCAAGAGGTGCCCCTTGATTCTGTAATTTATGTTGAAGGAGAAATGGCCTGAGCTGAGAATATTTAGAGAGTCATGGAAAATGGCAAAAGGGCTGGCCAGCTTGTCAGATGCCTAAAAGGAAAAAAGACTCAAAGCTCTGAGACAAGGAAGACCACGTTAGATGCAGGTATAAAGAAGCAGGCTGGAAGTGTGGTGATTTTTCTTTTAGTTAATGTCCACCAAAACAAAAATCCATCAGGGAAAAGACACTGAACAATCAAGTACACAAAATCACTTGCTTAGTTGCTATTCGCCAAGCTTTGCCATTAATTATCTCAAAACTGCCATTACAGGCACACAAACAGAATAGCTATAGTGACAGAGATGGAGGCTTCTGATGGGTCCAACAGCATGGTTCCTACTCATCCAGGCAGATTTAGCCATATCTGAACATTTAAGTTGCCAGCAAGAATGACCAATGTCAAGCATTACTGTTCAAGGTGCCAACCAGTCACTGCATATCAAGGTGGATCCCTTTCATTATGAGAGCTAGAAGCTCATTCACATAAGAACAGGTACTTATCTGGGTATAGGCTTGCTTTTCTTGTCCACAACAATTACTTATAAAGTAATCCCATCTGAAGTATATATGGAAATGAATCTTTTGAACATGTATATTAAATGACGTAAGTATGATCACAGCTGCATTGTTTATGCAAAATATTGGAAATAATTTTTTTATTATTATACTTTAAGTCTTAGGGTACATGTGCACAACGTGCAGGTTAGTTACATATGTATGCATGTGCCATGTTTGTGTGCTGCACCCATTAACTCGTCATTTAACATTAGGTATATCTCCTAATGCTATCCCTCTCCCCACCCCCTACCCCACAACAGGCCCCGGTGTGTGATGTTTCCCTTCCTGTGTCCATGTGTTCTCATTGTTCAATTCCCACCTATGAGTGAGAACATGCGGTGTTTGGTTTTTTGTCCTTGCGATAGTTTGGGAAACAATCTTAATGCCTATTGATGGGAGAGTAAATGAATGAATAAACTGTAACATAATAAAATAATTGAACATAATAAAACAGTCTTAATAAATAAAGCCTTACCACTAGCATCAATATGGATGAATGACAACAAAAATATTAAGTGAAAAATATTAACATTCATGATAATACACATTTTTTTTTTTTTTTTTTTTTTTGAGACGGAGTCTCACTCTGTCGCCCAGGCTGGAGTGCAGTGGCGCAATCTCGGCTCACTGCAAGCTCCGCCTCCCGGGTTCACGCCATTCTCCTGCCTCAGCCTCCCAAGTAGCTGGGACTACAGGCGCCCGCCACTACGCCCGGCTAATTTTTTGTATTTTTAGTAGAGACGGGGTTTCACCGTTTTAGCCGGGATGGTCTCGATCTCCTGACCTCGTGATCCGCCCGCCTCGGCCTCCCAAAGTGCTGGGATTACAGGCGTGAGCCACCGCGCCCGGCCGATAATACACATTTTTAATAAAATTTAAAATAATAGAATAGATCATATATACAAATAACTGTAAACTAAATATATATAGTTGCACTTAACTATATATACATACACACACATATGTACACATATCTTCTTTAGGAATAAAACTAAAGGCAGAACTAAACCAGGAAGGAGTTGAATCCCTGAATAGACCAATAACAAATTCTGAATTGAGGCAGTAATTAATAGTTTACCAACCAAAAAAAGCCCAGGACCAGACGGATTCACAGCCAAATTCTACCAGAGGTACAAAGAGGAGTTAGTACCATTCCTTCTGAAACTATTCCAAACAACAGAAAGGGAAGGACTCCTCCCTCACTTATTTTATGAAGCCAGCATCATCCCGATACCCTAACTCATTTTATGAGGCCAGAATCATCCTGATACCAAAACCTGACAGAGACACAACAAAAAAAGAAAATTTCAGGCCAGCATCCCTGATGAACATCGATGCGAAAATCCTAAATAAAATACTGGCAAACTGAACCCAGCAGCATATCAAAAAGCTTATTCACCGTAATCAAGTCGGCTTCATCCCTGGGATGCAAGGCTGTTTCAACATATGCAGATAAATAAGCATAATCCATCACATAAACAGAACCATTGACAAAAACTATATGATTATCTCAATAGATACAGAAAAGGCCTTCAATAAAATTCAACACCCCTTCATGCCAAAATCTCTCAATAAACCAAGTATTGATGGAACATATCTCAAAATAATAAGAACTATTTTTGACAGACATAGCCAATATCAGACTGAATGGGCAAAAGCTGGAAGCATTCCCTTTGAAAACTGGCACAAGGCAAGGATGCCCTCTCTCACCACTCCTATTCAACATAGTATTGTAAGTTCTTGCCAGAGCAATCATGCCAGAGAAAGAAATAAAGGGTATTCAAATAGGAAGAGAAGAAGTCAAATTGTCTTTATTTGCAGATGACATGATTTTATATATAGAAAACCCCCATCATCTCAGCCCCCAAACTCCTTAAGCTGATAAGCAACTTCAGCAAAGTCTCAGGATATAAAATCAATGTGCAAAAATCACAAGCATTCCTATACACCAATAATAGACAAACAGAGAGCCAAATCATGAATGAACTCCCATTCACAATTGCTACAAAGAGAATAAAATACCTAGGAATACGACTTACAAGGGACGTGAAGGACCTCTTCAAGGAGAACTACAAACCACTGCTCAAGGAAATAAGAGACGACACAAAAAAATGGAAAAACATTCCATGCTCATGGATAGGAAGAATCAATATTGTGAAAATGGCCATACTGCCCAAAGTAATTTATAGATTCAATGCTGTTCCCATCAAGCTACCATTGACATTCTTCACAGAATTAGAAAAAACTACTTTAAATTTCATATGAAACCAAAAAAGAGCCCATATAGCAAAGACAATCCTAAGCAAAAGAACGAAGCTGGAGGCATCATGCTACCTGACTTCAAATTACAGTACAAGGCTACAGTAACCAAAACAGAATGGTACCAGTACCAAAACAAAGATATAGACCAATGGAACAGAACAGAGGCCTCAGAAATGACAGCACACCTCTACAACCATCTGATCTTCAACAAACCTGACAGAAACAAACAATGGGGAAACGATTCCCTGTTTAACAAATGGTGTTGGGAAAACAGAAATTGGACCCCTTCCTTATACCGTATATGAAAATTAACTCAGGATGGATTAACGACTTAAAAGTGAAACCTAGAACCATAAAAATCCTAGAAGAAAACCTAGGCAATACCATTCAGGACATAGGCATGGGCAAAGACTTCATGACTAAAACACAAAAAGCAACTGCAACAAAGCCAAAATTGACAAATGGGATTTAATTAAACTAAAGATCTTCTGCACAGCAAAAGAAACTATCATCAGAGTGAACAGTCAACTTACAGAACGGGAGAAAATTTTTGCTATCTATCCATCTGACAAAGGTCTAATATGCAGAATCTACAAGGAACTTAAATTTACAAGAAAAAAACAATCCCATCAAAAAGTGGACAAAGGACATGAACAGACAGTTCTCAAGAGAAGACATTTATGTGGCCAACATACATATGAAGAAAAGCTCATGATCACTGGTCATTGGAGAAATGCAAATCAAAACCACAATGAGATACCATCTCATGCCAATTAAAATGGTGATCATTAAGAAGTCAGAAAACAACAGATGCTAGTGAGGATGTGGAGAAATAGAAACGCCTTTATACTGTTGGTAGGAGTATAAATTAGTTCAACCATTGCAGAAGACAGTATGGCAATTCTTCAAGGATCTACAATCAGAAATACCATTTGACCCAGTAATCCCATTACTGGGTATATGCATAAAGGATTATAAATCATTCTAGTATAAAGACACATGCACACATATGTTTATTGCAGCACTAAAAAATATATAAATGAAGGTAATGCCTAAATTGATCATATCATCATAAGGTATTTAACGACTTGTGTTATCACAGATTATAATGAATGCAGTTCCATGAAGTAATGACCATTGTGTGTGTGTGTGCGTGTGTGTGTGCGCGTGTGTGTGTGCGTGTGTATTTATGCATGTAAAGAACAACCAAGGTCAATGTTGAACAGAAAAGGATTTTATTAGAATATATAAAGGCATTCAGTGTTTATATTTTTTATTGTTCTCAAATATCTACAGATTATTTTACAAGCCTCTTTACAAAAAGCAGAGACTTATTCTCTGCCCCTTGCCTGTGTGCCAGACTCTGTGTCTTGCTTCTAGTGGATAAAATGCAGTAGGAGTAATGACATATGACTCACAAAAAATAATTTAGGAATCATAACAACTTCCTCTTTTGGATCACTTGATGTATGAGAAGTCAGCTTCCATGCCATCAGACAAAGTTGCCATGTTTATCAAATAAAAATATAAGAAGCAGTTAAATGTGAATTTCCGATAAATAATGCATGATTTTTTTTTGGTATAAATATATTCCTTGCAATATTGGGGATATACCAAATTTTATTTATGCTTTTTGCCTGAAATCGTAAAGTTCAAGTAACTGCTTACCTAAAATTCAAGTTTAACTAGACATTTTTAATTTTATCTTAGGACACTTATAACAATCATCTGGAGAGGTGTGCATGGCACGGACCTGAGCTTTCCTGCCAAAGCCATCAGACTGCGCCATCTTGGAACTTGATTCTCTAGCCCCAGTCAAGCTTCCAGATGAGTGCAGCCCTGGCTGATGTCTTCATATCGATCTCCTGAGACACTGTGGGCTAGATCACTCAGATAAGCCACTCTTGAAACACTGTACCACAGAAACTGTGAAATAATCAATGTGTGCTGTTTTATAGTTTTAGTTTTGAGGCAGTTTGCTCCCCAGTAACAGATAAGTAATAGAGCAAATATCTCATCAATCATGCTTCTTAGAATCAGAATCCATAGAAGAGGAAACTGACATAAATCACTTGTTTTTAAATTATCTCACAATATTTTTTTTATTTGTTTGTTTTGTTTGTTTGCCTCAGCCCCAATATCACTAGGCCTTAAATGATGCTTAATTCACTAAATTGTAACTTTTAGATTTATCAGCTTTCAGGGTTCATTAAAACTGTTCTGTTCTGGAACATATCAGAGTCCTTTTCCTCTTGACAGAGATTTTATTTTCCACATTCTGATTGAGATCCCGAGAGAATAGGAAGAAAATGTGTATATTCTGATGGAAAGTAAAAGCTGTCATTTCATAAATTATACTTCTGATTCTGAAAGAAAGAAATATATCTTCCTTTTCCTGCTCTCTTAAAGGAAATTGTGTGTCCATTGATTGTCTCTGCTTCATCACATGCAAGTTCTATGACCAGTTATTTTTCTCTTTAATTACTCAGCAGTTTTTCTCTATAAGAACATTTCATATTCCATAATTTACCTTTGAATCCTGTGTAGCTACTTGTCCCTAGAGAGTCATTCACCTTTTTCTCATTTCTAAGCTTAACATCTGTGTAAATATCTGCTTCTCTGAAAATCCAACACACTTATTTTTTGCTGAGTACTGTTTATTTTCTTCCCCCTCAAGATATTTCAGAAATGCATTATGATTGTGGCTCAAGTGAGAGACTGGAAGCAAGATACTATGTGTCCTCATGTTTAGGAGTCTCTGATTCCAATTTGGAAACATCATTTCCTCCCCTTTAAGCAGTTTGCTGGCTTAAACTGTCTCAAAAGATTTCTTTGCCATAATAATTCTTCATTAATAAGATGGTAGCATAATGGAAAAGTATAACATGCAGGGCTACTTAAAGGAAAATAGAACAGCAAATGTGATTTCTCATATTCACCATGCAGAATTCAAAGTGAAACACATGGGTTGAAATGTTTGCATCCACTTTCCTCCAACAGACTATAGAGCTTTTAATTACCTGTAGCACATTTCCTCCTGTAGTATTTTATTCTTAATTCAGTCATTTCTTGGTGAAGGAGGAAGTGCATTGCCCTACTAGGCAGGAGACCTGGCATCGTCTCTGGGCTCTGGCACATTTATCTATCTCACTGGGACTCAATTCAAATATTATCTCAACTCTGGCAAAGAAGTTGACCTTTATGTTCAAATTTGGTTTTCCTTTTCATGATCCAAATTTTATTTTCTTTTGCTATGGTCTTGCCTTATAATTTCTAGTTCAACATTCTATTATTTAACGGATGTCTTCTTATTCTAAGTCAACTGAAGTCCTTTATGAATTAAACATTTAAAATACTAATAAATGGAAGTGGCTGCTGGCCTTATAATTTGTTCAAGGGTCTAACACGTATTAGAATCTTGATAATTTACATAAATAATAGTACAAAATTTTAGTTTGCACCAAACTATTTAAAGTTGAAATATTTTGCCATTTCACAAATGAGAAGATGAAACAGTGGCTTTTGCAGGTTGACAGCTCTAGTGATTCGTTTGAATCTAAGTCTACCTAATGGCAGAGTCCATGTTATTCTGCTTTGTGCTGAAGCTAACGAAATGCCTAAATCTTGTTTGTATCTTTAATCTCTCTGATTCATGGTGCGCTGGGAGTGGTGGATTAGAAGCTTTCTAATTTTGCTTTTCTCTCTAATTATAAAGGCAAGCGCCCTTGGTTTAATGTTGTGCTCCACTGATTCATGAAGTTCTGCTAATGCAATATTTGTCATCAATATTGCAATAAATTCATGGCATCTTTTTCCTTTGCCATGTAATATGAATGGATGAATTGCACTCAGAATAACTAGTGGTTAGTAAATCCAATTCCTTGTGTTTCCCACACAGTGGCTCAGAGCTCTTTCTTCTTTCTGGCTGCTGGCATCTTATCAGTCAAGTTTGTATCTATTTTCTCAGCTTTCTTCCACTGCTGTTGACTTATTTCATCTAATCCTATTACTGCAGGCTGTTGATGGGGTCTCCTGCCTTGAGTCTTTTTTCTCCTCTTACCTACTAGTATGAATCTTCCAACATACTATACCTGATATTAGTCATTACAATTACGTCTGGTAAAAATACTTCAGTGACTCTGTTGCCCTCAGAGAAAGAAAATAAAACTAACCAACACATATCTTCTCCATCATCTGGTACGTGTCTATTTCTGCAGCCTCACCACCCACGAGTCCCCCTACATAGTCTCATTGGTCTGGCTAATCTGCTGTATTGTCAATGCAGAATTGAATGCCTGGAATTCTCATCCATTTTCTTCATCAACCCCTGCTCAATCTTCAAGATGCAAATCAAGCATCAGCTTTCCTTGAAGGCTTACTTATTCTCCTCACACCTCCTTGTCCCAACTGCATTAGGTGTTACTTTATGTCACTGCTATGAAGGTTTAATTTTTAATCACCTAATCATGAAATACAGTCATTTAGTAGTTCTTTTTTCCCTTAAGACTGTGAGCTACATGAAGGCAAATGTGATAATTTCATTAATGCTTTTTAGACGTATATAGAACTTACATGTTAGGCAGTGTTTTCTAAGCATTTTACAAATATTAACTTGATTACTTCTCATTACAGCCTTTTGATGTAGGTACTGTTGTTATAGACATTATACTGATAAAATAAGGCAAGAGGAATTAGGTGGCTTTCTTAAGGCCTCTTAGCCTTAAGAAAGTGGTGATCTTAAACAGTCTGAATCCCGACTGTTCTTTTAACACAATCCTATGCTGCATATCTATATTCTCAGTGCCTAATTTTGTGCTTGGCAAAAACTAGATGTTCTGTAAGTCTTTTTTTAGTGAATAAATAAACTCTACTTCTGCCTAGTCAAAAATGCAACATTAAATACTAACATGGACCATCAAAATGTTAACTAAAATCACCCTTCACTTCAGCATGGTTTTACTTTGAATGCATTTCAAATTCTGGAAAATAACACTATGTCATTCAAAAAGAAAAGAAGAGGAAAGAAAAAAAGGCAATATTATCTTTAAACATAATAAAAACAGCTCAACCTTGGAGATACATACCAGTGAGTGAAACACTGAATGTCAAAAAATCCATTTCAAGCTCTTTAGGGTGTTAAGATAGCAGATAGATTTCCCCCTTATTTTAGCTTCCTGTTTTGTGAAAAGCATTTACTGATACTGGTGGTTGCAACGATATCTCTTTGCATTTTCTCTGTGGGGAAGATCACATCTGGGGTAAGGTGGCTCAGGTGGAGAAACACAGCAGATGTCACGAATCAAAGTGATCAGCTCAATACTGTTCTTGCCTCAATCAGCATGGATGGTCAAAGGAAGAAAAATGAACCAGGATGCTTCCAAACATCACATCCATCCAAATCCACACCTATATAGCATTTCTCATGGCCTGCAATAAAAAGTGTTTGAGATTTCCCCAGAAACCTACTGTAGAATAAATCAGAATAAATGCAAAAACAAAATGCTTCAAAACACTGAATACTTATTTATTTTTTAAAAAGGTATCATCCTGCTGGTGTCCTGGCATCTAGAAAGAAAAATTTTTAGTGATGAACAATTAGGAATGTTTGTCCTTCTCTTTACTTTAAAAAATGACTAAAATGGCATATTTAATATTTTGGGGGTACCAGGTTGGAAATTTCTGAGTCATTTGCATAAATGGGATAACAAATTGTGCTGGATTTATGCTAACAATGATAGCTACAATTTACCTGGAAGTTACTGTATAGTAATTTAATTCTAATAACCACTCTGTATGATAGTTATCACTAATATATCTATAATATAGGTAAGGAAGTCGAGGCTCTCGGAAGCTGATTACAAAATCCTAGTAGAGTTAGGATATAAATGCAGTTTTGTGTCATTATAAAATACATCTGAAATGATTATTTCTCTTGCTTTGAAGAGTGTAGTGTGTGTGTGTGTGTGTGTATGTGTATGTGTATGTGTATGTGTATGTGTATGTGTATGTGTTGGAGAAAATGAGTACATATGGAAGCTCCACTGTGTTTACTCAAGGAATCATATTCCTTAAGGAAAATGGGAATGAAAATCTTCCAGGAATCTGTTTGGAGTCAAGTGGATCCTTGGTTTCTTGGACAAATAATCATTTTAGGGTCAGAAAAAAAGGGAAACCATGAATGTAGATTATACGCCATCTGCCACAGACCACACAAGACTTGTCCTTAAGAAATGTAATAGTGGAGGTGCTGGTGATTGTTTTAGGGTTCATAATAGTGTGAGTAACAGCACTGGTATTTCTTAAGACCATTTATATGCCAGTAGGTGTAGCAAGCACTTTACATTGATTATCTCATTTACTCATCACAGCAATCCAAACCACAGGCACCATTATCATCCCTGATTTAAGGAGGAGGAATCTATGGCTTGAAGCCTTGACAAAGGTAACATTCTAAAGAGCCTCCCTAGATTTCTGCCCCTGCCCTCCAGCATGAATGTGGACTCCAAGTATGATGGGATAGTCACTCCCATGACTGTAAGACACAGTTGCATTTAAGAAAGGGAGATTGTCTGAGTGGATATGACTTAATGAGGTGAACCCTTAAAAACAACCAGGCTCTTCCTGAAGAAAGCATCTGAAGAGGGAGAAGGAGTCAACATGAGTTAGATTCTGTGTTGCTGGCTTTGAAGATAGAGTTGGCCACATAGATAGGAATGTCCAGGAGCTCCAAGAAGCCCCTGCCTGACAGCCAGTAAGGAAACAGGGACCTCAGTACTGAAGCAGCAAAGAACTGAATTCTGCCATCATCAGGTGAACTTGGAAGACCCTTGACCTCAAGATGAGAGCCAGGCTGAGATTTTGGTCTCAGCTTTGTGAAACCCTGAACTAAAAGTCCTGTCATACTGTGCTCAGACTTCTGACTGATACAACTTTGAGTTAATAAAGAGGTGTTATTTTTACCCACTGTTTGTGTTTAATGTTTTAATGGAACATTAAAAACCATATATCAAAGGTCCCCAGAGCAATTAAGTTTCAGAGAGGAAATATAAATGGTAACATGACATTGGAGCCCAATTCTTATCCATCTAGCAACATGTGTCTTAAAATGAGTCTAGAAGAATTGACTTAATAACACATCTAAAGACATCTTAAATGTAAAGAGACATTTTATTATAAATGTGATGAACTTTGGACTCATAGTGCCAGGTGAACTTTTCAGGTGAAAGCTAGTCAGAAACTCAGCATGAAAGAGGGGCTCTAGGCAAGTAAGTGCTCCAGAGATCATCTTATGAGTGGGTGGGTTTTGGACACGCTTGTCATAGCTTAAACAGACAACCTAATGCCTTTGGCAAAAACACTGGCCACCACTACAGGGGACAGCTGTAGTGCTCATGAGCAGAGAATGTCAATTAGGTGCCGCAGGTGCTTCAGCAGCCTCGAGCTTTGTAATAACCCCTTTTAAACAGCCAATTGGATCCTCATTTTGGGCAGCAGCTGTATACTTCCTGCCCTTCTTTCAGCTTTTGGAATATGCCATGTGATTCTATGATGCAAGTCTCTGGATATGCCTCTTATTCTGCCAGAAATGTTTTGCCACTGGCTTTCTTAGGTCATTTTTATTCTTACCTTCCACATACCAACTTCACTGTCACCTACTCAAGAAGCTTTCTTCTATCACTTCATTGAATCTTTCTTCTCTGCTTTTTCTCAAGCATCGTAGTCTTTGCCCTCCATGAAACTTATACCTTATAAATTTTCATTGGTTGGTTTACTTTTTTATGATGTCTCCATGATCACTAATATTTCTTTTAATAAAATTTATAACTAACATGTTATGTGAATTTATCGGATTATAATAAATATCTTGCAAAGAATCCAGAGACTTGGGGAGCATGCTATCCACATGCCAGAGATGTTTAAGTCAGATGAGTGGGGTTAGAGACCACCCAGTGTTACACAATGGCTAGCAGTGGTTTTATCCAGGGTTAAAACCCAGGCAGTCTGAATTCTTGTTACTCAGCAATACAATCTTTAGGCTAAAAGATAAGCAGTGCTCACTTAGCAGATAGCACCGTGCCTGATACACAGAAGACACTCAATAAAGATTTGTGAGGGGGAAAAAAAAGAAAAGAATGAATGCATCGCAATGGGGCAGACTTCAGGTGACTTCTGTTAGCTTTTTGGCAGCCTAGAACGCAATTATTGGATATGATAAGAGATATCCGAAGGATAAAAAGAGGACGAGAAGGCAGAGTTGGAGGAGATGATCATAGTGGCTATGCAGTAGCTGAAAGCAGACCCCAATCTGAAGATAAAGTGGAATTACTTAATGGTGCATCTTTACTCCAGACCTTCAGAATCAGCATTTTGTGGGGTTGGGAGGAGTGGGAGACATGAAACATTGCGTTTTTATAAAGTTACCAGGGGATTCTGGTGATGTGCCATCTTCTGTTTAGTGTGTGAACATGATTAAGATAATTCTGGTGAGTACTGGAAAGAGAGTAAAATCCCAGAGATTTCACAGTTGGAGACTACACTAAAAAACAAACAAATACCAAACTATTTTTCACTGAAACTATCACTTCAATTTTTACCATCAGGCCAAACAAATAATGGTATAGAGAGAATTACATTAATTCATTTTTTTTTTTTTTTACTTTTTGACAGTCTTTAATAAGCATCCCTTAAAAACCTGAAACTATGTGAAATTAATATATCTTCATAAATACAACTATTCTTTCAGATATAATAGTATTACCATTTGACACAAGAAGAAACTCAGGTACAGACAGAGATTATGCAATTTCTACATTACCAGACAATTGATCAGTGACAGAGCTAAGGTTAAATTTAGGGAGGTTGATGTTTGATCAAGCACTGGTCCACCTAATGGAAATCTATTCATCTTTTAAAAATGATGCATCACAGTTCTCGCAGGGTGAAAAATACATGCTAGGCAGCTAAAGTGCACACACACCCATATGTACAAACAGATTAAAAAGACAAATGTAGGGAACCATAATGGGTTTAATGTTTGGACTCTCTAGCGTGAAGTTGTAAATGAATGGTGAGAAATAAGAATGGAGAATCGGAAAATAGATATCCTAAGAATGCCAACTCACAGATTACAAAACTTGTCTTTATGATGGAGAGCTAACAAAGTGTCTTTCACATCCGTTTCAGTGCCAACATCATAGCACTTATGCTAACTATATCTTTCCATGTTCAACTCTCATAATAGCCTAGAATAAGTCATATGGGAATTTAAGACAAGTGAATTTTTTTTTTTTTTTTTTTTTTGAGATGGAGTCTCACTCTGTCACCCAGGCTGGAGTGCAGTGGCGCGATCTCCGCTCACTGCAACCTCTGCCTCCTGGGTTCAAGCGATTCTCCTACCTCAGCCTCCTGAGTAGCTGAGACTACAGGCGCATACCACCACCCCCGGCTAATTTTTGTATTTTTAGTAGAGATGGGGTTAAGTGAAATATTTTTGAGTTCTCATATAAAATAAAGATTCTCTAGTACGTAGATTAAATATTTGGTTTTCTTATATTTTACTGAAAGGTTAAAATAGCTGCAAGGTTGAACTTTTGACATAGAAGAAAAAACAAATTCAAACAAATATAATTCTATTAGGGAAGAAGGTGTGTGAATCTAGGTTTTTTTGTTTGTTTGTTTGTTTTGCTTAAAATATAAATTAGATTCACTAAAGATGATTCTTTTCTAATATATTTTAGGTAAAACCATCTCTGTTCCTGCCAGTGCCAAAATAAACATACAGTACTAAGTCTTTTTCAAAGTGTAATCTACTGGAATATTCTCATAATGGCATAATTTTAACAACAGAAGTTTTTGCTCTCTATTTAATCTGGGAAGCTTTGCAACTTAAATCTGATTTTCACACAAATATATTTTATTTTCTTTTTTCTTTTTTTTATTATACTTTAAGTTTTAGGGTACATGTGCACAAATACATTTTAAATATCCCTCCCTGAAACCCATCTGGATGATAAAAGTATGGAAGCTTATGCAAATGTGTAATACACGTGGAATTTTACATGAGCATTTATGTTACTAAACCTGAAATTAAATCATTCATTAGAATGACTACTGCCATTAAGCCCTTCTTATTGTTCTTAAACTCTATGTTTAACAGAAAAAAAATAGCAAAGCCAAGTATAGGTAAACACACTATTATTATTATTATTAATTATTATTATTATTATTATTGAAATGGACTCTCACTCTGTCCCCGAGGCTGGAGTGCAGTGGCACGATCTCGATTCACTGCAGCCTCCGCCTCCTAGGCTCAAGCAATTCTCCTGCTTCAGCCTCCCAAGAAGCTGGGACTATAGGTATGCAATACTATGCTTGACTAATTTTTGTATTTTTAGTAGAGATGGGGTTTCACTGGTCTTGAACTCCTGACCTCGGGTGATTCGCCTGTCTTGGCCTCCCAAAGTGCTGGGATTACAGGCATGAGCCACTGCGCTTGGCCATTTTTAATGTTAAACATCAAATTATATACTACAAAGCAAAGTGAATTAAGTAGAGCAATATTTAGATATGAAACATTTTGATATACTATGTGCATACTTTTCTTTTTCCAATGCAAAATAACCTTGAGTATCATTTAATTATGAGATTATCATAAAACACCCAGAAGAACAGCAGAGAAAAATGAGTATTTCTGATGAAGCATTTCTACAGAAGGTACAACAGAAATTTCAAGAGAAAAAGGTTGAAATTGACCAAAAAGTTTTATTATATACAACTTATGGCGTAAAATATATGGTAAAAATGGTTTCATCACCAATGTCAGCTTCAATATTGTGCTGAAGTTTATTAACTTGCTTTGTAATTATTATTTCTGTCAATTATCAGGAATGACATCTTGTAGAGTACCCTCATTTCTTAGCAAGACAGATAACCCCTTTTCAAGGTTATTACTTTTAACTCTTTCTGACAACTTAATCTGTGACACTAAAGTGCTGAGATTTAGAGATGGAAGTTAAAAACAAACTTTACAGAACACGTACTATAGTAGAAGCTCACATGCAAAAAAAATGCACTGCAATGAAACATGTAATTATGGAAGTATTATCAAGTAAAAGAATATATAGTAGAGAAGAGGGTAATATCTTCTGGAACTTTAAGACCAGCATCACTGAATAAAAGTCCACTGGAAAGGTTTACAGAATAAATTAGAGTTTGTTTCATACCCAAAAAGCAACGAAATAGAAAAACAACCATACACAAATGTCTGGAAAGGTTATCTTTATTTACTTCATTAAAGCAAAGGAGAGGAAGGGATAGTTTTAGAGTTTACCTTGGCAACTGGATCCTAGCACTCAAATATAATCAAACTGTTTTGTACATTTTTGAGGGGGTCTTGCTTTTTTGTTTCATTTTTAGTTTTGTTTGCTGTCTTTGTTTTTTATTAGAGAAAACTGCCTTTCTACACATAAAGGGCAATTTGACTTGAGCATCCAGGCTTCTGTGCCCAAGGAAGAAAGGACTTTTCCAGCATAATTATTAATAGTACTATCTCTCATTCTCAAAAGTATTCTAGTTTGAATGATAAGTTTTATAGTCAACCTAGCAAAAGATGACATCTTGTAAATGTGGATTGGAAGCCATGCATGTCACTATGGAACCATTTACCCACGTTGATCTAAAAATCTGTACATGGAAAATATGAATAAATATGAGACAAATCTAATCATTATTCTTTTCAAATTTTAGTGATAAAACTGAACAGTTTTTAACAATGAGCTAGTCCACCATAAGAAATATTTAAAGAACATTTTCCAAAGGATCCTCTGCTTCCTTAATAAGTTAGCATTTTGTATTAGGGTCAGATTGTGCTAAGTTATGATATCAAAATAAGCATATTAAATGGCTACAATTTCTCTAACATCTGAAGCTGTGATAAACTATTAAACAGTTTGATATTTCAGATATTTAATTCACCAAATAACATATTTCAGATATTTAATTCACCAAATAACATAACATATGTGTATTTTCTTCAAAATTTCCTCTGGAAAATAACAAAATGGTGAATGATCTATGCTTAGTGAAATGTAAAAGTAGATAAGCTCTTTTGCTTTTACTATTGTGAAAGGTAAGTAAAAAAAAGAGGGGGGCTTATGAATAAGGATGTATCTGAGAACTGTGTTAATAAGCTCTCCTATCTTATTTTTAATCAATGAATCATGTAGAAAGCTTTGTTTAGACCTTGGCTAATCGATAAGCTATTTTAGTAAAACAAGGAACATAGACTTGGGGTCATTGAATCCACTTTAAAATTTAACATATTGGGTAAAGAAAAATCTGCAAAGACTTTAGGATTTTTCACTGAAGCTTTCTAGATGAGTATGTTGTGATTTAAAAGGGTATACACCTTTAGCAGACTTTAGTATGTTGTGTTTCCATTCATCCAAATTTTATATTTGACCTCTGTCTGATTGACTTTAAAATTCTCTTCTGCATTTACTTATCAAAAATGGGTTGGGTATGCCTAGAAGAATCTTAGTAGCCATAGACAAGACCAAACAAAGATTGTTTTTTATTTTTCTGAGCTTCAGTCACCAATTATAAAACTCAGGAATTATCTTAGTGTTCTCAAGTGTTCCTGTCTTTCTTAATACATTTTTAGTGAAAAACATAAGATTCTAGTAAAAATATAGCAGTATATTGCATGTCATTTTATTCCTAAAAAGAACGTAATCCCATTCAACATTTTGTGATTCAGAACAGCTCATATGCACATATTTCATCTATGCAATTGCTAATATATTTAACTTATAAATATAAAGAAGAAATAATTATTCAGTGTATGCCATGGCCTTGATGATATATGAGATAAACACTATTTATAGAATCACAAATTTCAGAGTTGGATGTAATTTTAGATATTGTCATTGACCGAATGAGCTATTAGACATCCATCAAGATTGACTTAAGTGCCCAATGCTGAAAATCAATTCACTTCATACATTCATTAATTAATTCATGTGTTTGCCCATCCCTCTATCCATTCACCCCCACACTCATCCAATTAATCACACCTCAACTGTTGTTTGTAAATAACAAATAGCATAAACACATAAAAGAAATTGGGATTTAGCAAGACCTAAAATGCACTGGAACACTTATCATAATTGTTGAAGAGGATATGGGAATAAATAAGGGCTCATTAGAAATTAGTTTTACTGTGAACCAGACCATACAGAAGCTTTTGTTTAGGTTATTTTCTTTTTTATTCTTCTGAGACTGGAAGGAAAAAAATATATATATATATAAACACAGCAGGCCCTAGAACATGGAACATTCAACTATAGTGTATATTCTTTCCATTTCGCCATTATGTTTTGCAAAGAGTACTTTAAATACCACATGGTATAGGCACTGACAGGCAGACTCTCGCTGCATTCCTAAGGCTTAATGATCTAAAAGATGGGAGAGAGAAATGCATACTAGGGGAGAAGAGTCCTTATCATCTAAAGTGATAGCTCCTACAGAACTGGATAGAAGAAGGAAGGGATTAACTTGATCCAAAAATCATTTCACCAAGTTACATGGATGGAAGTTCAACTGGTGGTGCAATCCATCCTCTATCATGGGGACTTAGAGATGTTTCAGTGGATTGAATAAATCCGCGTTTAAAAGCAACTTTGTTCTTTTAGATTATGCAATGATATCTCAAGTTTTCTAAGTCACTGGAAGCTTTCCTTGGAAATTGAGTTTCCCCTAGTTTATGCTCAATCCCCTTTTCTAAAACTTTGCCAGGACACAGAACAGTTTTTAGCGGAAGGAGAAAATAAAGGAACATTTTAGAAGTCCAAAGTCAGGCATCTACCAACTGTGACATTGAACTTCTGTGGGCCCAGCCTCCTTTTGTATAAATGGAAGGCACTAAATTAAATTAGTAGTAGAAAACTTGTTGAACTCTGCCCCATAATGTGCTTTGTTTGTCAGAACTGTGTTTTATTATTATAAAATTCAACACGAAGGTCCTTAATTTGGGTGTGCACTCTCTAGTTTAGCAGAGGCTCTGTGAAAACTTAATGCCTAACATCCTGTCTGTTTTGCTGTTTATGTCACCTGCCCTTCCTTCATCTCCTAAGCTCATCTCTGTTTAATCCCCACTGCTCATGCCCCCATTTTTATCTCCCCACCCAACCACACAATTCCAGCTCTACTAGGCTCTTTATTGTTATAGGACTTCTCAAAACATGCTCCTACTTAGAGTCTTTGCATGGACTAAAATGTCTAAAACTCTTCCTCCACATAATTGCATGATGAACTAATTCACTTCCTTTCATCTTCTGCTCAAAGGTCTTCTTCTCGAAAAGGATTATCTGATCATCCCACTTAATAGTAAAACTCCAGAGCTTTCAGATCCCCCTTACTTTGCTCTCTTTTTATTTATTTATTTTTCTTTCTCTATGACCTGCTTTACAAAACATTCCATTCCTGACATAAAATACCCTACTGGATGTTTATCTCATTCTTTCCTTCGTTTAAATGCCAGGTTTTTTTCTTCTCATATTCTAAATTTTGCCGAGAACTCAGTTCAAATCCTAGCTCTACATTTCACAGATTTTTTCAAGTGCCAACTCTGAGCCTCAACTTTCCATCTCAGAAAAGTAGAAAGTGATTCTCATATAGCCTGATATGGTATTTTAAGTATTTACCACACTCATACTTAGACATGGCATGCTAAAACATAATTATTATTATTTCAAGTTTTGTTGTAAGCCACATATAAAAGTCGAGAATGGTATTTCCATTTTGTCAGGATTCTCCGGATTTTTTTTTAAAGCTCCTGACCTATTATAAGTTTATCCTACTTAAGTTACTCACTGTTCCACTACATCTGCGAATAGATTACCGCTGGACCTGGTACTCGATTGGATCTCTAGAAATGTAAAGCAAGGACATCAGGAATTTTCTTTCAAGTTTAAATTAGGCATTTGAAACTAGTGGTATACCAGGGCAACAAAGAAAAAGAAACAAACCTTTCTGCCAAAGTGATTTTACTTTAAAATTGCCTGCACTCCCATGATTGTTTGCAGGCAGAGACTGAAAGTCAGGTAGAGGACATAGCTACTGAAGAAACCTCCAGGGATGCTTCCGAGTTTGGAAAGTTAATAATCATAAGCTTAAAAATGCATTTGAATAAACTCTCACATTGCCTTCGAAATAGTCACAGACAATGTCAGAGTTTCAGATTCAAAAGATGAATGGCAAAAAGGTTTATTTAAGACTAGAATATTAATTTTTTTATTGGCGTTGCTATTGCTGTGTTAGTAGTAATGTTGTTGTTTTCGTCCTTCTTATTATTATATTAAATGTCACTAGAAATAAGTCCAGAACAAAAGAAACAGTGCGTGAAAATTTACCAGTGAAAAATTCTTACAAATGGATCAGCTATCTTAGAATTAGAAGTGCCCAGAACATTTGAAAAAAAAAAAAAAAAGAGGAATTCTAGCTGGAAATACCTGTGGAAACCTTTTCGGAACTCTTTTAAATATGTGCTTTATATTAAAACGCTACTGGAGAACAAATTTCCGATTTCAACTGCATAGAAAAATCTTAGAAATTCTCCATCCCACATATCCCTTTCAGATAATCATTGAGTCCCCACTTTAAGTATTTTTAACAATGGTTAAACCTCTGAAACATTTCTATATTATTTTTAGAGACCCCTAACTATTAGAAAGTAAGTCCTTATGTTGAACATGGATCAGGTTCCATGAAAATTCATTTATCTATTCATTCATTTTACATGCGTTGAGCATTGGGCTAAATACTAGGAGAACTAAAAGAAAAGGAAGAGAAAGCACACATTCTACATTCAAGGAGCTCACAATTTTCTGAGAACAATAGAAGAACAACTATGTATTAATAGCCAGATGTGATTAAGAAGCTAATTAAAATGGATTTTTCAACTGAATTAGGGGTGAAGAAGAGAGGCACATGAATTGTCATCTTCAGTATAGAAATATAATAACATATTTTAAAATTGAGATTTAAATAAACATTTTAAAACTCAAAGAATTTTCTCCCCTAATACCTATAAATTCAAACAATAGCAATAAGAATAAACACTTTGGGGAAAGTTTTCCAATAAGTAACAAAAGAAAAAAAGAAGGAGGAATAACCTCATCTTCAACAACCGGTGCTTGGCGAAAGAAAGAAAATAATCTGGAGTAGGCTGGGCTCAGTGGTTTACGCCTGTAATCCCAGCTACCCGGGAGGCTGAGGCAGCAACATCGCCTGAACCCAAGAGGCAGAGGTTGCAGTGAGCCAAGATCGAACCACTGCACTACAGCCTGGGTGAGAGAGCGAGACTTCATCTCAAAAATAAATAAATAAATAAATAAATAAATAAATAAATAAAATAAATTGCAGATAGAAGAAAACATTTTAGGGACCAAACTTTCTCATTATGCAACTAGTAAATTGAAAAATATGAATAAAACAGAATATAGATTTTAAACCTGAATTACTGACACTGAAATAATCATGGTAAAGGAAGATGAAAATGCAGAGTAAAACAATTAGAGATAAGCTAATAGATTTAGAAGATGTGGTAATTCAGCACAAGGTAATTGGTATCCCTAAAGTAGAATATCCTACATACAGAACAGAAAATCTACCTAATCATATAATGAAAGATATATTACTGGAAAAAATAAAAATTGAATACATATATCACAAGAACACATAATGTTTTAGGATATGAAAATCATAGGACAAATATATATCCCAGATAAACTGTCACACTGACACAGTAAACAAATTCTTCAAGTATTTTGACAGACAAAACAGGTCACCTACATGGAGGAAAAACTGGAGTAGTCTCAACCTTTTCCACAGCTATATTCACTTCTAGAATACAATGAACTGCATGTCAACAGAAAACATCTAGAGTTTTGAGGAAAGATAGTGACATTCAAGAATATTAAATCTAGCCAAAAGGTCTTCTAACTATAAAGGAAAAAAGCAGACATTCTCAATCATTAAAAATCTTGATGAGCATAGAATCTGTGAGATTGTCTTTGAAAACCTGCTTGATAATATCCTACCAATTAAAGGCAGAATCAAACTCAAGAATCCAGAGATAGACAATCCATGGTAAAAAGACCATGGTAAAAAATAAAGTGCATTTAAGCTTAAAGATAATGCTAAAACAAATAAAAGTTATGTAACTTATGGCTATAGAAAAAGATGTAAAAATCATATTTTTTAATAAAGGTTTATAGGCTGGGCGCTGTGGCTCATGTCTGTAATCCCAGCACTTTGGGAAGCCAAGATGGGCAGATCATGAGGTCAGGAGTTCGAGAACAGCCTGGCCAACATAGTGAAACCCTGTCTCTACTGAATACACAAAAAAATTAGCCAGGCACCTGTAATCCCAGGTACTCAGGAGGCAGAGGCAGGAGAATCTCTTGAACCCGGGAGGCGGGGGTTGCAGTGAGCTGAGATTGCACCATTGCACTCCATCCTGGGTAACAGAGTGAGACTGTCTCAAAAAAAAAAAAAAAGTTTATACACACACACATATGCTCTTATAAATTGGAGAACAGGTACAGAAGAGAGATTTGCAGCGTAATCTTTCAAAAAACTTATTTTATAAGCTAAAATTAAAACATTATTAAAAATAAGTACAAGGTGTAGTATTTATTTCATAATCTCTTAATTTACAAGAATCTTTCAGTAAATAATATCACCTATTGTAAAGAAATACTTTAATTTTGCTAATCTTCAGATTTATATCAGTTGGTTTTAATTATGTAATAGTCAAATAATATTCAAATTAATAATTCTAATAAAGACACTATTTTGATACAGTTTTATTTTTGTAAAAGTAACTCACAGATATTGTAGGTTCCCAATAAAGTCAATATTGCAATAAAGCAAGTCACACATCTTTTTTGGTTTCCCAACGCATATAAAAGTTATGTTTACACTACACTGTAGTCTAAGTGTGCAATAGCATTAAGTCTAAAAAAAAGTACATATCTTCATTAAAAGTACTTTATTGCTAAAAAAAAAAAAAGCCAATGATCTTCTGCACCTTCAGGGAGCCATAGTCTTTTTTCTAATGGGAGATCTTGCCTCGATGTTGATGGTTGCTGACTGTTTACGGTGGTATTTGCTGAAGGTTGAAGTGGCTATGGCAGTTTGTTAATATAAGACAACAAAGAAGTTTGCAGTATCAATGGACTCTTTTTTTTCACAAAGGTTTTTCTGTAGCATGTAATGCTGTTTGATAGCAATTTATCACAGTAGAACTCTTTCCAAAATTGGAGTCAGTTCTCTCAAACTCTCCCACTGCTTTATCAAATAAGTTTATAAAATATTCTAAATCTTGTGTTGTCTTTTCAACAATGTTTATAGCATCTTCACCAGAAATAGATTTCATCTCAAAAGCCATTTATTTGCTCATTCATAAGAAGCAACTCCTCATTCGTTCAAGTGTTACCATAAGTTTGAAGCAATGCAATCATATCATCGGACTCCATTCCCAATTCTAGCTCTTTTGCTATTTACACCTCATCTTCATTTCCTCCTCCACTGAAGTCTTGAACTTCTTAAAGTCAACCATGAAGGTTGACATTAACTTCTTCCAAACTCCTCTTAATGTTGCTATTTTGACCTCTTTCCATGAATTATGAATGTTCTTTATGGCATGTAGAATGGTAAATCCTTTTCAGAAAGTTTTCAATTTACTTTGCCCAGATTCCTCAGAGGAATCACTAATCTATGGTATCTATAGCCTTATGAAATTTAGTTCTTAAATAATAAAACTTGAAAGCTGAAATTATCGCCTAATACATAGGTTGCAGAATGGATGTTATACTAGCAGACAATGAAACAACATCAATCTCCTTGTACTTCTCCATCAGAGGTTTCAGGTGATCAGGTACATTGTCAAAGAGCAGTAATATTTTGAAATAAATCTATTTTTTCTGGACAGTAGATATCAACAGGGGGCTTAAAATATTCAGCAAATCATGTGTAAACATATGTGCTGCTATCCAGGTTTTGTTGTTCCAGTTGTAGAGCACAGGCAGATTTAACATGATTCTTAAGGGCCTTAGGACTTTCAAAATGGTAAATGATCATTGGTTTCAACTTAAAGTCATCAGCTGCATTACTCTCTAACAAGAGAGTCAGTCTGTCCTTTGAAGCTCTAAAGCCAGGCATTAACTTTTCCTCTCTAGCTACAAAAGTCCTAGATGGCATCATCTTCCAATAGAATGCTGTTTTGTCTACATTGAAAATCTATTGTGTAGCCTAGCCACCTTAATCAATGATCTTAGCTAGACCTCTGGATAACTCGCTGCAGCTTCTTCATTAGACCTTGCACTTCTATATTATGGAGATAACTTATTTCCTTAAACCTCATTAAGTAACCTCTGTTAGATTCATATTTTTCTTCTGCAGCTTCCTCACCTTTCTCACCTTAATAGAATTAAAAGAGAATTAAGCCTTTTTCTGGATTAGACTTTAGCTTAAAGGAACATTGTGACTGGTCTGATCTTCTATCCAGACCACTCAAACTTCTTTATAGCAACAAGGCTGTTTCACTTTCTTATCACTCTTGTGTTCACTGGGGTAGTGCTTTTAATTTTTACAAAAACTTTTCCTTTGCATTTACAACTTGACCGACTGTTTGGCACAGGAGGCCTAGCTTTCAGCCTAAATTGGGTCTTTACATGCCTTCCTTATTCAGTTTTATAACTTCTAGCTTTTTATTTAAGCTGAGGGATGTGCAAGTCTTTCTTCCACTTGAACACTTAGAGGCTATTGTTGGGTTATTAATTGGCCTAATTTCAATATTGTGTCTTAAAAAATAGGGAGGCCCAAGGTGAGAGATGGGATAGATGGAGCAATCAGAACAGACACAACATTTATCAATTAACTTTGCCATCTTATATGGGCATGTTTCCTGGTGCCCTATAGCAATTACAACAATAACATCAAAGATCACTGATCACAGATCACCGTAACACATATTATAATAAAATAGAAACGTTTGAAATATTGCAATAATTACCAAAATGTGACACAACACAAAGGGAGCACATGTTATTGGAAAAATGGCATCAATAAATTTCTCTATGCAGGGTTGCCACAAATCTTCAATTTGTAAAAAATGCAATATCTGAGAAGCACAATAAAGTGAAGTACAATAAAACCAGTATGCCTGTATTTATATCTACATCTCTCCCCCGGCCTCTCTTTCCTTCTTTCTCTCTTCCCCTTTCTGTCTCTCTTGCTGCAACATCCTGACATTTATATATGCAAAGAAAGATGTTTGTATTTATGGAGACATAATATTTAATGACAGGATTTGTTGTGATTGCTTAAATGTTCATTTTGGCAGTTTTCTGCACTGCTTGAATTTTTTTCTAATACATATTTTTCATTTTATAAAAATAAATAAGGGCCAGGCATGGTGGCCCAGGTCTGTAATCCCAGCACTTTGGGAGGCTGAGGCGGGTGGATCACCTGAGGTTGGGAGTTCGAGACCAGCCTGACCAACATGGAGAAATCCCGTCTCTACTAAAAATACAAAACAATTAGCCAGGTGTGATGGCATACACCTGTAATCCCAGCTACTTGGGAGGCTGAGGCAAGAGAACTGCCTGAACCCGGGAGGTGGAAGTTGCTGTGAGCCAAGATCGCACCATTGCACTCCAGCCTGGGCAACAAGAATGAAACTCCGTCTCAATAAATAAATAAATAAATAAATAAATAAATAAATAAATAAATAAGGCCGGGCATAGTGGCTCATGCCTGTAATCCCAACACTTTAGGAGGCCAAGGCGGGTCGATCATGAGGTCAAGAGATCGAGGCCATGCTGGCCAACATGGTGAAACCCCGTCTCTACTAAAAATACAAAAAAAAAAAAAACCAAAAACATAGCTGGGCGTGGTGGTGCACGTGTGTAGTCCCAGTTACTTGGGAGGCTGAGGCAGGAGAATCGCTCGAACCTGGGAGGCAGAAGTTGCAGTGAGCCAAGATTGCACCACTGTACTCTAGCCTGGCAACAGAGCAAGTCTCCGTCTCAAAAAGAACACATTCTTCCCTAGCACGGTGGTTCATGCCTGTAATCCCAACATTTTGGGAGGCTAAGGCGGGCAGATCACTTGAGGCCAAGAGTTCAAGACCAGCCTGGCCAACATGGCAAAACCCCATCTCTACTCAAAATATAAAATTAGCCAGGAGTGGTGGTGCACACCTGCAATCTCAGCTACTTGGGAGGCTGAGGCATAAGAATTGCCTGAACCAGGGAGGTGCAGGTAGCAGTGAGCTGAGATCACACCACTGCACTCCAGCCTGGACTCCAGCGAGACTCTGTCTCAAAAAAAAAAAAAACACATTTTTAAGACAAAAACACAAAGCATGCACACAAATATGTTAGTTGCTAATTCTGAGTAATGGGAATATAGCCACTGATACTCTTCTTTTCTAAAAGCTTTTTTTTGCATTAAAATATAGAATGTTTGGCATAAAACAGTATAAGCATTTTAAGTTTACAATGAACTCTTTACTCAAACTAATAAGTGGCTTTAGAGTCAGGTATAGGTAGATTTAGATTTAAACTCTACTTTAGTGCTTATTCTATATGTGACCTTGAGCAAATTACTTAAGCACTCACATGTTTATTTGCTTAATCTATGACATAGAGGCTATCTTACAGCTGATGGTTTTAATATGAGGACAAATTACATAAAACATGATTAATCCCATCTCTGGAACATAGTTAGCCCTCCATAAGTGATGTTTCTCTTTTCTTATGTTCCATTTTTCTTTTGTAGTAAGTGTACAGTGCCTAAATTGCATAATTATACATATTTAAATATTGCACACACACAATCACAATGTAGCAACTCACAAATACATACATAGCAGAATAAAAATGACTCACCAAACCCAAGGCCTGGAAAAAAAAATGGATTGTCTTTTTTTCCCAAATCAGTTTGAGGCAGGAAAATAGTTACATGATTTTATTAAATTCTGGTTGGAGCACAAAGGTGGGTGTTGAACAAGATGAAATCCATGGCATTTTTAGAATTAAGAATCTGTATCTCCCTATCTTCCTTTCTCTCTCCCTAACAGCCCCAATACAAAGTCCATCCATATTATTGTAAGCCAATCGTTAAAGGAGAAATTAAGAAATACTACCTACAACTAGATATGCAAAAATAAATATCCCCGATACTTTCCCTGATAACTCATGGAACATCATGGGAGGCTATACAAATGAGCCAAATGAAGAAATACCACACATCCAATTCTTATGTGCACAGACTTATGGATCACAAACACATTTCTGGGAGAAAAGAGCTCTCATGGAAGGGAGGTCAGATTTAACAACAAAAATACAGGAAGCTCAATAACACTGAATTTCAGATAAAGAACAGATCATTTTTCAGTATATCCCAAACATTGCATATATTTTATCTGGCCACCCTACTCTAAGGAGATATGACCAACACTTGAGTAGGTTTTCTAAGAATGAGTAGGAAGAGCTGGCTGCCCAGTGGACTGAGAGAAAGGAGAGAGTGGCCACATAGAAGTAAAATGATCACAGCAGAGACATGAGGTTCATCAGGTTTCTGGAATCTCTATCAGCTGAGTACTTGGAAAAGTTTTGTAGAGAAGAATGGACAAAGATAATCATGAAAAGTATTTGGACTTGGAATTTAAAGGTATTCCAGAGATATTGAAACTTGCTTGATAAGAAATGAGGAACTGAGCTGCCTTAGGTTTTGAGAAGGCCAAGGATGTGGTTGGTGCTGTTCTTTAGAAAAGGTTGACTTTCAGTCTCTCTCATACCTCTAACAGTGGTGTTCAAAGATTACAAAATATCTGTCAAAGCCAAATTAAACTTATTATTTTAGCTTTGTTCAGCATGTATTATTTTTTCTTGACTTTATTTATTCCAAAATCTGTTGGATAATCTATTATACCACTCTGTTTTTATATATTCAGTAACACTGCCATAAGATTAAAATGTCTTTTTGTTTTAACTAAAGAAATCAATAGGTAGACAGAAATGTGAAATATTTTTATCTCTCAAAATTATAAAAGTATATAGAACTTGCTTTTGCAAGGTGCATCTTTATTAAGATAAACAGTGCAGTAGTTAAAAATGTCAAACCTTATCACACACCTAGATTCAAATTCTTACCCATTTAATAGTTTGAGCTCAGGCTGAGTGCGGTGGCTCATGCCTGTAATCCAGCACTTTGGGAGGCCAAGGAAGGCAGATAACCTAGAGGTCAGGAGTTTGAGACCAGCCTGGCCAACATGGTGAAACCACTTCTTTTCTAAAAATACGAAAACTTAGCCGGTAGTGGTGGTGGACGCCTGTAATCCCAGCTACTCGGGAGGCTGAGGGAGGAAAATCACTTGAACCCAGGAGGGGAAGGTTGCAATGAGCTGAGATTGCGCCATTGCACTCCAGCCTGGGCAACAAGAGCAAAACCTCGTCTCAAAAAAAAAGAAAAGAAAAAAGAAAAACAATAGTTTGACCTCAGCAAATATGCTTAGAAATCCCAAGTTTGTGTTTCCTAATGAGAATAAAACTACACCTCACTTAGGTTTCATTTTGAAGAATTAGTAACGTAGAATATATAAGCTTTTAGCAACATTGGTTGGCACACAGCAAAAAAAAAATGCCATATTTTTGGTGTTGCATGAAGATTCTGATTTGGGAATCAGATGACATATTCATGTTATCATTCTGCAAGTTGACTGGTGGGTAACAATTTACTTAAACTTTCTGAACTTCAGTTTTTTATTTCTCAAAGGTATTATTATTTATAGATATTACTGGCTTCTTGCGAAGACTATGTTAATGTCTTAATTCTTTTTCATTACATTACTTTATATAAAGTGCTTGCAATACAGTTTTCCCCAAATAGGTACTTTATAATATTATATAATTGATTCATTTATCCAGCAAATATTTATTTAGTACCTACTATCTATAAGGTAGGGTGAACAAAGGCATAAATACTTTCTGTTTGAACAAGAAGGATTCCAACTTTCATTATTGTAATTACTTGATTTATATTATTTACAAACACTGATAATTACTTTGAAGAAAAATAACCTGACTTAGAATGGGAAGCCCAGGCAAGACTCTCTTGAGGAATATATATCCCCTTTGTCAGTTGAACCAGTTTTCTCATCTAGAATTCAAATGACTATAATATAAAACATATTCTAAAATGTCACTGGCATATTTGGGAATAGAACTCAAGTTTCTTGATTCTCAGCCTTTATCTGTTTCATGATCCAGCTAAGTGACCCCTAGGCTTCTTTTCCTATCTGTAAAATGAGGAAGGTCAGAGGAAGAAGATGATTTCTACAACAACCTACAGTCTATGGATTTTTGAACTTATCACTGTTACAAAACAAAGCTTGTAGGGAAACCCCATGAGAGGAATTTACTTATTTTATCCCAAAGCATTTTTGGTCTGAACACACATATGCCACCATATGGGATACATTTAGAACATTCATTAGAAGAAGAATAATTAGTCTCCTATCGTACATGGAAAAAAAAAAAAAAAGAGTAGACCCAGAGGATAAATACTTTAGAAACTGAAATAAAAGACTTTTAAAATAAATCTGCCAAAGACAAATCGAGGAGAAGTAAACTGGAGCTCATTTGAAAAAAAAAATGAAATGAAATGAACAATTAATTCACCTGTAAAGCTGCATAGGCACTTGTGTATTGGAGGAAGAGATTAATCTTGTATGGGTGGGAGGGAAGAATACAATCATACACATTAACAGAAGTATCCAAGGAGGATTTCTTGTTTATTGCAACAAGGAAAAGAATTGCAAATTTAAAGAACTTAGACCCTTGAAATGGTGATTTGAAACAGATTTTCAACTTCTATGACTTTAATTTTGTCATTAAGCACCAGATGCACATGAAAAATTACAGAGGACCTGCATATTTGGCTAGAGTTTTAGAGGACTGCAGAATAATGACAGAAAAGTGAGAATGAAAAGGAATGCATAAAAAAGTTGTTAAAAGGTCTTAGTCTATTTGATTTCCTATAAAGGAATCAAATAGAGGCTAGGTAATCTACAAAGGTTTATTTGGCTCACGGTTTTGCAGACTGTACAAGAAACATGGTGCCAGCATCTGCTTTTCGTGAGGGCTTTAGGAAGCCCCCACTCATGGTGGAAGGGGTAAGGGAGCAGGCATCACTTGGTGAGAGAGGAGAAAAGAGAGAGAGAGAGGGAGGAGGTGCCAGCCTCTTTTTACCCAATCAGATCTCCTGGGAGCTAATAGTGAGAATGCTTTCAATCCCATGAAAATGACACCAAGCCATTTATGAAATATTTGCCCCCATGACCCAAACACCTCAGAGCAGGCCTTACTTTCAACACTGGGGGTCAAATTTCAACATAAGATTTGGAGAAGACAAATATCCAAACCGTATCAGAAGGAGAAAAGGGAGTGATGTCCGAGAGGATAGACTAACTCATTCATTAATTCAGCAAATTCCACTGGTGCTACCTGCTAAATAAAGCCTGTGAGGACTTTTTGTTAGAGATGAGGTCTCTGTATGTTGCCCAGGATGGTCGCAAATTCCTGGGCTCGATCCTCCCTCTTCAGCCTCCTGCACAGATGGGACAACAGGTACGTGCCACCACACCTGGCTGTGAACAATTTTCACTATTTTTACAAAACCTCTAGTATTTATGTTGGTGCAAAAGTTATTGTGGTTTTTGCAATTAACTTAATGGCAAAAACCACAATTGCTTTTACACCAACCTAATACAAGCCACCATTGTCTCTTTTCTAGACGAGTATTTATTTGTTCCAGCACATCACCCAACTATAGTAGATCACCCAAAAGAGTACATTTTTCATGCAGAAATATTTTAAAACATAAATAAGTCACATTAATCTTCTTTATTCATAACTTACCAGTAGTTTTTTCCATCACACTTAGAAAAGGAAATCCAAAGTCTGTTCCATCTTACAATACTGACAATAAGCTGGAGTCCAATCACCAATTCATTTTCCTCTCTCACCTTCACTCTCTGGTCACTCTGACCCACTTTACCTTCCTTTTTATTCTTTTATTTATTTATTTATTTATTTATTTATTTATTATTTTTGAGACAGATTCTCACTCTGTCGCCCAAACTGGAGTGCAGTGGTGTGATCTCAGCTCACTGCAATCTCTGCCTCCCAGGTTCAAGCGATCCTCCCACCTCAACCTCCCAAGTAGCAGGGATTACAGGCACATGCCACCATGCCCTGCTAATTTTTGTGTTTTTAGTAGAAACTGGGTTTCACCATGTTGGCCAGGCTGGTCTCGAACTTCTGGCCTCAAGTGATCCACCTGTCTCGGCCTCCCAAAGTGCTGAGATTAGAGGCGTGAGCCACAGCACTAGGCCCCCCTTCATTTTTAAATGACCTATCTGCTTCTACTGCAAAAGTTTTCACTTGCTTTTTCCTTTTCCTGAAATACATCTTTGCTCAGATTCCTAAATATCATCTTTTAAGTCAGTTCTGTCAAAATACCCACCCCATCCTCCTTCTCTTTCCCTTCCAGTACACTGATTAGTGTTTATCCATAACATGCTACAACTACTTGAATTTTTTTTCTGTATTTTTCTCTCTGTCCCATGACAGCATGAAACCCATACAGACTGGAACCTGGTCTTCCTGGTTCACAGCAAATTCCTAGCACCTAGAACATTATGGGAGACATATTAATAATTAGATACATATTTTGAATCATTATTAAATCATTTTTATCATTAATATGGAAAATACTTATAAAATATTTGGTATATGCCACACACTATAGCAGGATCTGGGATATGCCAATCGGATCAAAGAGACTGGCCCTCCTGAGGATGTTAGTCTAGTCTGTGAGATAGACCATAATCAAATTGTAATTTCAACAAGAAAAAAATATAACTGTGAGGGGAACAGGGAATAAAAGGTCTAAGAACTAGGCTGGAAGTCCGAGAAGGCTTTCTCGAAGTGAAGTTTGAGCAGAGACCTACAGGATAAAAATGAATTGATTGATGAAGTTAAGCAGGAGAGAGACAAAGCATCCTATGCAGAGAAAACAGTTTGTGAAAGCAAGGAAGAACAGAGAAGCCATGAAGATCTGAAAGAAGGCCAGTGTGGCTAGAGCACAGAACACAGGAGTGATATGGTTCATGATGAGTGTTTTAGGTAGCTATTGCCATGTAACAAATCACCACAAAGCTTAGTAACTTAAAACAACAATAGCATTAATTTTGCTGATAAATCTATAATTTGGGGCAGGGCTCAATTGGGACAGCTTGTGTCTCCTCCATGTAGCTAGAACAGGGGTGGCTTGAAAGTGAGACTCAACAGCTAAAGTCTGGCAGCATCACATACATATCCAGCATGTATTTTTGGCTGTCAGCTGAGAAGTTGAGACTGTCAGCTGGAAAATATTCATGTGCCTTCTCCACATGGCTACTCAGCTTCTTCTCAGCATAACTGGGTTATCAGAGTCAGTACTCAAGGGAACAAGGCAGAAGTGCTTGGCGTATTTATGACTTAGCATTGCTTTGACGTTACTGTTTTGATCAGGTTGGTCAAATGGTGGTCCAGTTTCAAGGAAAGGGTGGATATATTGTGTGACTCAACGAGAACGTGAACATCACATGGTAAGAACATCATGTGAGATAAGACACGTTGTGGCAGTCATCTTTGGGAAAATATAATCTACCACAATAAGGTTGCATACATAGGTAAAATTGGACTATGGAAAACCAGGAAGTCTATTTCAGTTTACTCTTTATCCAAAGAGAAGTTAGATATCAGATATGTGCTTTGAAATGACTACTTTGGGTGCAGAGTGGAAACGGAAAGAAGTAGATGGTTTCATGAGATATTATTTGGAAGATAAAATCATTTGGGCTTGGTGACAGTTTGATTACAAGGAAGGTAGAAAGGAAGGAAGGAAGGTAGGAAGGAAGAAAAGAAGGGAAGGAAGGAGGGAGGGAGGAAGGAAAATGAAAAAAAGAAAAGAAAAGAAAGGAAAGAAAAGGAGAGGAGAGGAGAGGAAAGAAGAGAAAAAAGAAAAGAAGAAAGGTAAATTACTTGTCTACCTCCTAGTCACAAAAGCTAAGCATGATTACCCTAAATTTTATAGAGCCCATGGATATTTCAAGCATTTTAGTGTAAAAGGCTGATCTTTCTATCCATTCATTTTCCACTCATTTGTTTGACAATGTTTTAAGAGTTCCACGCATGAGAAAGTTATGTATCAGTAACTATTAACAAAATTATACTTTCAGGGTAACTGACCTCAGGGAATTTACAGTCAAGTGGTAGGTATATTCTTCTGTGCTCTCTGGAACATATGGTGCAGACTTGACCAAAACACCTACATTGACCAATGTTGCCATAGAAGAGATATACTTGTATATCCGTAGACTGGTTAAGAAGAGTGTCTCAGATGTGACTGCATTAGAGCTACGTTTTGAAGGATGAGAACATATTAAATACAGTAGCAAGGACAGATGGGTGGGATGAGTAAGCAGTGAAAACAATGCTTACAAGTGCACAGAAAGACCAACGCCGTAGTAGGAAATGGTGTTCCAGATCTTTCAAATGGCATGTACACAGACGGACCTGGAGATTTGAACATGATCTCAATCATTAGGAACCTTATGCACTCACTAAAGAGTTCAAAGTTCCTGTCTCACTCTAACATTGACTCTCAAGATTTTCAAGGAAGGTAATAGGGTCAAATGTGTTTTCAAATAGCTACACTATTCCCCAATTTTCTACAATGTTATAATTTTAGAGAAAGGGGAACCATGCAGAATAGTCTTGAATTATTTCAGGCATGAAGCAATTACAATCTGAACCAAGTCTTAGACATTGCAGAGGGCGAGAAATGGGTAAAAATAAGAGACATTAAAGTGTCTCATCCTACGCAGTACTTCCCAAGCAAGGCTAATCATCAGAATCACACAAGAAAATATTTTATCATCTTTTATTTCTTTAAATACTGAATTTTGGCCTCATTCTGAGAGATACTGATTTAGTAAATGAATTACATATGAAGGTAGAATTCTAATGTAAACATCTTTTGATCAGCAAGATTTCAAATATATTAATAATAAATGATTTAATGGCACTTAAAATTAGCTAGGAATATTCTAAATGTTTCCTATATATTATTTCTTTGAAACTTGCAATACCCATTTTGGCTACGTCGTTATATCCTCAATGTATATGTGAAAAAAACGATGCACTGAGAGGTTAAGCAACTTGCTCAAGGAAGCTTGGCCAAGGACTGGTAGACCTAGGATTGAAGCCCAGTTAGATTGTCTTCAGGCCTTGGTAATCGATCCCATCAGGGAAGGGACTAAGGAAAAGCAAGTGAGGTACTCACTATAGACACCAAATGTAAGGAAATGCCAACAACAACAAAAAAAAAACTCAGTAATCAAAATAAATAATATTTAATGCAATTTAAAAAATGATAACATGCAAAAAAATCTATGATGAACAAAATACGAAAATTTTAATTAAAAACAGGTTGTGTATGTCATACTGATTCTTCCTTTTCCATCATGGAAATACTGAAATGGTTCAGATGAAGAGCATGTTTTGGAGCCTAGTTCAAAACATGACCCATCTGGGGAGGTGAATTTGGGGGGTGGTGGGGCGGGGGGTAGTGTCTGTGGGTTAGTCCACTGGAAATATACAGCATATCTAGTTGAGCCCTTGGAACTGAATGAATACAGCAGAGAAGACCATGTAGAGGGAATAACAGAGCTCATTACAGAGTCGAGAAAAACATTTAGGGATTGAAATAGTATCCCAGGTAGAGAGACCCATAATATTAAGAATATTGCCAGAATGTACCAAATTGTTTTTAAGGAATGGGGACCAGACTATTAAGAGAACATCTATTTTCACAGAATAGATGTTTCTCTCCTCTAACATTTTAAACCTACCACACTACATATAAGCTGAGAAACTGAAGTACCTATTTAGTAGAATTAACAAGGATAATAACAGATATAATGATTAATTTAAAAAATAATTATCCATCTTATTGCATTATGTTCAAAGAGTATGGTGAATTGCTGATTGTCAAGTTATGTTGCTAATAAAAAGATATTCTTATATATCTATGAGAATATTGGAATAAAAGACATGTGAGTTACAATTCACAGACTGGGCACAACTTAATAAAGTTCACAACTATTAAAGTTCACAACTTAATAGCTGTGTTGGCTTCAAGAAGTAATTTAACCACTCTCAGACAATGTTTTCTCATGTGTATACTAAGAAATCATGATGACTATAGAATAATGTAGGGAAAGTGTCTATCTCAGGGCTTGACACACTGAGTATATTTATATTTCTATTTTCCCATCAAAGATAAAAAGGAAAAAAAAAAAAAAAGAAAGCCTGCAATGTTTTCCTTTCTTCCATGAAGAAATGCACTGGATTTTCCAACTTTCATTCCAGTGCAATAGTCTCAGACCTGGGCTATTTTCTCATGAATATAAACTTTAAAGGAGTCTCCATTTGCTATACAGAAGTACGGCTCCTCAGTCACTTGAACTTTTCAATAGAATGTCCATCAGAGAGAATTTACATCTATATCTCAGCCTCCACAGTATCTTTTACAAAACATAAGTGACTACAGGCATTGAATTTAGGTGTGAATATAATTAAATGTACTTACTGCTTCAGTCTTGAAGACCACTGATTCACTAGTGAGAGTAGTAAAATAGAAAATATATAAAAAGGCAAGAGAGAGTCCCTTCATACCTAATGAAGGATAGTTAAATATTCCTTAAAATGTGGCTGACAATTTCCACACTACAACCTTGCAAAATGGCTCAGAGCATGTCATAAAAAGAATTCTTGGATTCTGCAAGGAGTATGAAGTAAATGGAATTACTAGACCTTAGTTTATTGTGTTTTCATTAATCTTTTTCCCTTAGGTAATTGTGATTCAATTTTTTAAATAATCAAACCCTATGAACAATGGTCATTGCAAATGCAAGTGATTTGACAAAACTTTACAGCAGTACAGTTTCTACAGTAATTATTTAGTCCTAGCATTGGCAACTTTTTTCTGTAAAGGCCCAAAGACCAGAGAGTAAATTATTTAGGCTATGATCCTTATGGTCTCTGTCACAACTACTCATCTCTGTCATTGTAATGTGAAGGCAGACACAGACAATATGTAAACAATTGGGCAGGACTGTGTCTCAACAAAATTTTATTTAGAAAAAAGGGGGCTAACTGAATTTGTTCAATGGGCCAGAGTTTTCTCAGTAACCGAATCTAACTGCAGTTTTATTTCCATGATAGTGTCATGATATGTTCATAGTTATGTACCTAAGTAAAAATGCCAATCATATTACTGGTAAACAAAGACAGCTATCAAGTAATGCAACTAGTATTTTGAGGTTTACTAAAATCAGTCAAAATTTTGAGTACCTTGAATATAGTGTATGGATATTTCTGAGCCTCAAACTACTCGTGTAAAACGGAGATTAAAAACTACAACTCAAATTTTTGTAAGAATTAGAACTAATATAAGTAAGATAATCAACACAGTACCAGCCTAGGTTAAGGTGTTTAGATTGGCAATATTTTTATTCTTATAACAATAACAGGAAATTCAATTAGCTTAAACAGATAAGACGATAAATGTGGGCATATATGTATGTATTTTCCTACTTCAGATAGATACATAGACAGACAGATAGATGATAGATAGATGTAAATGTGTAAAACACAATTCAAGAAATTAGATTAAAAATAAGGACACGGTATCTTAATAGGAAACAACATATCAAGAAAAAGTTTAATGTCTTTTAAAGAATATATAGATTACATGACATGAACTCTGATTCATTCCCTTGTCTTACGATTCTTTCTGATCACTCTCTTCAGCCCATACAAGTCTTCCTGAGTGGGTAGTAGTCACTTACAAGGGATAAATACTATGTGAGCTGAATAGGTTAGGAAGTAGAAATTTATAACAATTACATTAAAAATGAAAGAGCTAATTTTTTTTTTTTTTTTTTTTTTTTTTTTGAGACAGAGTCTCACTCTGTCGCCCAGACTGGAGTGCAGTGGAGTGATCTCAGCTCACTGCAACCTCCATCTCCTGGGTCCAAGCAATTCTCCTGCCTCAGCCTCGGGGTGGCTAGGATTACAGACGTTCACCACTACGCCTGGCTTAATTTTGTATTTTTAGTAGAGGCAGGGTTTCACCATGTTGGCCAGGCTAGTCTTGAACTTCTGACCTCAGGTGTTCCACCTGCCTCGGCCTCCCAAAGTGCTGGGATTACAGGAGTGAGCCACTGTGCCCAGACAAAAGAGCTAAATTTTAATTGCACAAGAAATGTTCACATTGTTTAAATATCTTGCATCAAGAAATATGGTTGTCTTAAAAAATAAAATAAGCTATTGGCACCATGGGCAAAAAGATAAATCTTTTATGCTATAATTTTCTGCTAATACAGACAGGAAGAGGTGCTTTATACAGCTGTAGGTAGGACTGCTAGAGAGGTTTATGACTCCTTTAAACATGCAGAAGAAGTTGTTATTCTACAGCTGTATTTCTAGGATGATGGCTACTTAAAATGGGGTGGCTCACCTTCAGAATATACCAGATAATTACCTGGCTCTTCCTCCTATAGTGAGGTATTAATTATAGAAGCTAATTAGTGACCTGTTTGAAGAAGATCTGATCATATGGGTCTTTATTTATGGGTGTTCATGTCTCTTATATGCATGGTGGAGAAAAACCTTCCGGCAACTATGATTATTACCATTATTTCATTTTATTGCTTTTCCCATTCAAACGGAGACCACAGAAAGTCAACAATGTAGTTAATTTGCTTTAGCAAACTGGAAAATGCAAGATAATATTATTCCCTTATGAGTTAGAAACTACTGAAGAATATAACTACAGGTTCTAAAAGTTTAGTGTTACATCTAAACGGCAATCCTTTTTTTTTTTTTTTTGCATCTCTCAGCTTTCCTATTTCCTGTGAAAGCACATAACATTAAACTGATGACACAATCAAAAGTTAAGGCAGGCAGTATAAAGTTCTCCCTAACCAATCTTTGTAAGTTTTGTCTAACGTCTCTGTTGCTCAGTTCAGAATTTGATTTGATGGCAACACATTTTTCCCTGTTTAAAAAAACCACAGGAGAAAGGCGTTCTAGTTTAGAAAGAAAGATAATACATTCTCTCCCTCGATACTATCCCCAGAGCCAAAGACCCTAGGTTTATTCCAATCACAATTTTTTTCTAACTGTCCTTCTTTGATATAGTTACTATATTTGTTATGGCTATAGGATGTTATTTCTCCCGGGACTGACTAGATCACTACCTCCTTTTCTTTTTCTTTCTTTTTTTGAGAAGGAGTTTCCCTGTTGTCACTCAGGCTGGAGTGCGATGGTGTGATCTCGGCTCACTGCAACCTCTGTCTCCTTGGTTCAACCTATTCTCCTGCCTCAGCCTCCTGAGTAGCTGGGATTACAAGCATGCACCACCATGCCCGGCTAATTTTTGTATTTTTAGTAGTGACGGGGTTTCACCATGCTGGTCAGGCTGGTCTTGAACTCCCAACCTCAGGTGATCCACCCACCTCGGCCTCCCAAAGTGCTAGGATTACAGGCGTGACCCACCGCGCCCGGCCTCACTACCCCTTTTTCTATATTACAATATGAACAATTAATTATGAAAAAATAATATGGCATGATGGGGGGAGCAGAATGGTAGCTCATCATGTTGGAAAGTAGAAAACCAGCAGATAAAATATAGACATGTCTATCTATGTTAAGAAATATGACTGGGAATTTTACCTTTAGATATACTCTTGGTTGAGTATTTTAGACAATCAGGAAAAAGTTCAGGGTGACATTATGCATCAGTGTATAAAACTACCCTATGGATTGCTTGGTAAACTAGCAAAAGAAAGCAAAAAGCTTTACTCATAATCTAAGAAGTCTCACTCTAGATCTGAAAAATGAGAAAGGGGTCTCTTAGACCAGTTGAGATCAAGTAACCTCAACCAGTTTCTCAACATGGTACACACCAAAAGCAGAGTGTGAAAATGGAGAATTGTATATAAAAACTTGGTTTGGGAGGAAATACGAGGGAACAGGAACAGGGGGATGTGGGGAGGGAAGCAGGCAAGAAAGAAGGCAATAGAAGTGTGTTCTGTTAAGTGGGTAAGCGTGCGGGCCGCTGGAGCCAGACCCTGCTAGAGCCTTTGGAAGAAAGAAAGAAGCTCTCTCAGAATTGACAAGTGGAAAAGGAAGCATTTGTCTTTGGCTCTTATTTCCTGCTTTTTTAAAATTGTCTCAGAGAGTGTTAGCCACGTCACAATTCTGAGTTGTGACACAGCTTTGGCACCTAAGAAACCCAAGAAAAGATAGCAAGACTCCTGAGTGGGATGAGAAGCTGTCATAGCCAAGTGAGCCAGGGCTCACACAGAACTTTCCCTTCAGCTGGAATCAGGGTGAGGGCACCAGGCCGGGCAAAAGGGGCATCTGATAGGATCAGGATCAAGTTTGACCCACAAACTTGTAGATTCAATCGAGTCAGTTCAGATCACTTCCCAACCCATGCAAATAGGCAGAAAAACACTGTGGGGTGACTATGAGTCACAGCAATTTATTGCGTATTTTCAAATAGCTAGAAAAGGCGAATTTGAATGTTTCCAACATTAAGAAATAATGAAGTTTTGAGATACTAAATATGCTAACTACCCTGATTTGATCACTACACATGGTATACATGTATTGAAATATCACAGTGTACCCCATAAATATGCATAATTACTATGTGTCATTTAAAAATAAAAAAATAATAATTTAAAGTGAGCCTTCTGAGCTTGAAAAGACGAATAGCATATCATCGTGAAGATTCAGATGACCTTATCATTCAACAAAAATTACAGTGAAACCTATAAGAAAATGTAGGGAAATGTTCGGCATTTTCCAAAGAATTCAAATACCTGTCTCTATGAAAGAAGTTTTCTCTCTTTAGCATTTTGTCTCCGGGTTAACAATGTGTAATTATGAGGAAAAACAACAGCTGTTTGATGGTGGAGAAAGACTGTAAGACAACTGAAAATGCTTCAGCAAAATGGATATATGCAAGTGAAAAGGAGAAAGGAAAACAGGCAAGGCATCAGATTGGATTAATAGCAGAGAGGACAAATGAAAAAGCTCTCCCAGGAAATAAGCAAAAATGTGAAAGAAATGTAAAAGAAGGAAGGTGAATGGAAGTGCTGTCTACAACACAATCCCCACTGCTGCAGTAGTAACTCAGGAGCCGTGGAGCCCTGGTAGTAGCATAGCCACAAGGTGAAAACAGCCTGGATTTCTGAGTCACCATTGGAAAGGGAAACACCTAGAATGCATGGATACGAATCATTCAATTTGGCGTGTTGCTGTGCCACAACTGCAACGGGAGTCCTCAAATGTGTTAAGCTACAGAGCTTTTTTCTTTTCATTCTTCTACCTATTAATTACTTCAGAATAGCCCACTCTATTCTGATTAATACAAAAAATAGAAAACTAAGGGTTACCCGTTTCCAAGTCACAAATACATTTCTTAGCTCAATGTTTGACTCTCAAAGATTATATTTGTTAAAGGACACTTACTAAAGATGAAGAAAATTTTGATTAAATACGTGTGTATCAGAATTTTTTACTTCATTTCTAGAAATCTATATTAATGATGACAATAGACGGAAATTGTTTCTAAGCATCTCAATTGTAATAAACGTTTTCAGATTATCTATTCTCCCAAGTCAAATACACGCTGTTTAAATGAATGTAGTTTTAAGAATGACGGAATGATTGGCAAAAAATTCTGAGATATTATTTACTTCAGACTGAATGAAAATCAAGTCTGAACAACATTAGATAGGAAAGAAAACAATTTCAAATTGTTAAAAGGCACAATTTATAATGGCGTTAAGAGTCATAAATCACTATGTAACAAAATATTGAATCAAAATAGTAAAAGCTCTTAGAAAATGGAATGTTACTTCAATACAACTTTCTCAGTCTTAGACAGATCAAGTAATTCAAAATGAAGTTATAGAGGTTTATAGGTAATTTAATTAAAAAGCTGAAATACATAATACATAAATAAAATATATTTTAAAATAACCAAACATTAATAAACATTAAAATACATATATAACACTGAGAGCTTTTCCATAGAAAACAAAATTGCTATCAGCGTTAATCCCGAAGGATTCATCGCATGCAGTTAGTTAAGCAGTCTTTTTTTTTTTTTTTTTTTTTGAGACGGAGTCTCACTGTCGCCGAGGCTCGAGTGCAGTGGCGCGATCTCGGCTCACTGCAAGCTCCGCCTCCCGGGTTCACGCCATTCTCCTGCCTCAGCCTCCCGAGTAGCTGGGATTACAGGCACCTGCCACCACGCCTGGCTAATTTTTTTGTATTTTTAGTAGAGACGGGGTTTCACCATGTTAGCCAGGATGGTCTCAATCTCCTGACCTCGTGATCCACCTGCCTCAGCCTCCCAAAGTGCTGGGATTATAGGCGTGAGCCACCACGCCCAGACGTTAAGCAGTCTTTAAACAAGGAAATAAACAGGGACAAGGTAAAAGAACACTTCTTGAGGGATTTGAGCTCATTTTTATTTAAGCCTTTTAATAGTTTTTTTTTTCTTAATATGATTCTAGAGTCCTGCAAGTGACTTGTGATGATGAGCACTTCTTGAAGCACCCGGCCAAGGTGTAAGGAATCCTGTCAGCTCATACGTTAGGCTGAGCTAGAAGGGATCTGAAAAATAAGGTTTTGCTGTACACCATTCAGAAGCAGTAGAAGAATGCTTCATCTAAAAGCATTCTTCTAGGATTAAATGTGCACATCAAAGTAATATATATTGAATTTCATGTCTGTGGTTACAATGACCCCTTATCTACACCTGTACATATATTATTTTCTCATTAAGTATCTTCTCCTTAGAAAGGTTGCTCCACTACTGTCTGCATCTGAACAGAAAACTACTTCAGAAAACCTTCTTGGAAACAACAACAGAGCAAAATGAAGCAGGGTCTGGCCAATGATTTTCAGGAAGCCTGAGACTTAAAGGGATTCTCAGAAGAAACTCAGAAAAGTCGCTAACTTGTCTGTGAAGCCAGAATTGTGATCAGCTTCAGCGAGGGAATCAGAATGCTGGGATCTCACCTATATCAGCTTCACTAGTGTCAGGAGTCTCTGAACTACATATGGTGATATAGGACGATGTCAGACAAAATGCAAATTCGAGCAATCTTCTTATTTGAGTTCAAAATAGGTCATAAAGCAGTAGAGACAACTCACAACATCAATAAAGCATGTAGCCCAGGAACTGCTAATGAACATACAATGCAATGGTGGTTCAAGAAGTTTTGCAAAGGAGACGAGAACCTTGAATACCAGGAGCATAATGGCTGGCCATTGGAAGTTGACAACGAATAGTTGAGAGCAATCAAAACTGATCCTCTTACAACTACACAAGAAGTTGCTGAAGAACTCAATGTCAACCATCCTATGATAGTTCCGCATTTGAAACAAATTGGAAAGGTAAAAACGTTCCATAAATGGGTGCCCCATGAGCTGACCAAAAAAAAAAAAAAAAGTCATCGTTTTGAAGTGTCATCTTCTCTTATTCTATGCAACAATGAACCATTTATTGATCAGATTGTAATGTGTGATGAAAAGTGGATTTTATACAACAACCAGCTATGATCAGCTCAGTGGCTAGACTAAGAAGAAGCTTCAAAGTACTTCCCAAAGCCAAATTTGTACCAAAAAAAAAGGTCATGGTCACTGTTTGGTGGTCTGCTGCTGGTGTGATCCATTACAGCTTAGTGAAGCCATTATATCTGAGGAGTATGCTCAGCAAATCAGTGAGATGCACAGAAAACTGTAACGCCTGCAGCCGGCATTGGTCAACAGAAAGGGTCCAATTCTCCTGGACAATGCCCAACCGCACGTTGCACAACCAACGCTTCAAAAGTTGAACGAATTGGGCTACAAAGTTTTGCCTCAACTGCCATATTCACCTGACGTCTTGCCAACCAGCTACCACTTTTTCAAGCATCTCGACGACTTTGTGCAGGGAAAACACTTCCACACCCAGCAGGATCCAGAAAATCCTTTCCAAGAGTTCATCAAATCCCGAAGCATGGATTTTTATGCTACAAGAATAAAAAAACTTATTTCTCATTGGAAGGAAAAAAGTGTTGATTGTAATGGTTCCTATTTTGATTAATGAAGATGTGTTTGAGCCTAGTTATAATGATTTAAAATTCATGGTCTGAAACCGCAATTACTTTGGCACCAACCTAATAGTTTTACTGTTGTATCCATCAGTCTTGTATATTTACACATAAATACAGAAAAACTTTCTAAGATTCTAGAGTAGATTTGAAAGGAACCATGGAGATTACCGAACTGAACAAACAATGTATGAATGTCCCTCAAAAAAACATGCATTCAGTACCGTTCATTTTCACCCTCATCCAAGGCACTAGCATCTTCCTTCTTTTACTTCTTCGGCCAAGAAGCATCCTCTATACAATAACCACAATGATATTTTGAAAATGTGGATCATGCCACTCTCTCTCTTAAAACCTTTATTTCTGTTGTCATTTGATTGAAACTAAATGCTGCCATTGTCTTAAAAGCCCTGCAAGACCTTGCTTCTGGTGCATTAGGTCTCCAAACTCTCCAAGCCAATCTGCCTTGCTGAGAACGCTGCAAGCACATTGGCTTTCTTTAGGTTTTTTGGAACTTCAAGAGTCTTTGCAATGTCAGAATATTTGCACTTGCTATTACCTCTTCTGCTGGCTGTTGAAATTGCAGGTTTCTTCTCATTCTTCTCATTTGTGTCAGTTTAAACATCACAAACCCCTACGGGCTCTCTCCCATTTAGTATGTAGTTTTATCACATTATTCTATTTACAGAGTGCAATAAGTACTTTTACGAACAGTACAAAGTACTTTCCTCACTTATGTGTTTACATGTTTACAGGCCCTTTACTCTATTAGAATTTAAGCCCCACGAGGTAAGTAACTGTGTCCACTGTATGTCATTGTGACTAATATTTCAATTACCGATTGTTCCAATTTCTCAGTTAATTTAAGTAAATGTTGATTTCCCTTGAAGAAGTCCTTGTACTAATTTTTGAAGCTTTTAGAAACTATTTGTCAAGCAACACTGTGGTAGTTTAATTTTTTAGTTTCTGCCTGCTAAAAACAGCTTTCTGAAACTCCTTAGGAGTATATTTTCTTCTTTTCTTTACTTAATTTTTTTTACCCTCGAGTATACTAGGGGTCTCTGTTCATGTACTGTTTCTTGTTTTCCCAAAGAGATGAACAGTCCATGAAAGCCAAGGTATGTCTCTTAGATATATTTTTCCTTCCAGTCTCATAATAGGCCTATCTTATTTAGGCACTCAATAAAGAATACCTTACCTTGGAATTGAGAGCATTCTTAATAGAGTTTCTATATTAGTCCGAAGTATTTTGGTAGGAAGTATCAGAAACTCAGCTCAGATACCTCAAGTAAAATGAATTTATGAACTCATAAAACTTTCCAGAGCTGGCTTAGCATGGCTGGAGCCAGGGGCTCTGAGAATTTTATCAAGAACACTGTATTTCTCTCTTCAACTATCATCTTCATTTCCTTCTCTCAGTTGGCTTCTCTCCGAAGAGAAGCATTCTTCAGAAAAGTGGAAAGACGCCTACTGACGAAGTATATTGGTAACAACTTTCAACCTAGTATGGAATATCTGTTTATTCAAATATCAAGCAGTCTCTCGTTGGTGCTTTTTTGGTCACATGTCTTGCTTATACAAATCACTGTGCTAGAAGATTGGGTTAGTCTGTTGGACTCCCTAAATAGCATCCTATATCTGTTGGGGTAAAGCAGACTACTGAATTGGTCACATGGCCAGGATCAAATAATTGAGGAAAGGCCAATTCTCCAAAGAAGTCACATGGCAGAGAGCAATCACTTATTCCCATCTCACCTAACCTATCTTGCTTTGTGATAATTGAATATTTTGCAATTAATGCCCAAGTATCTGTTTTAAAATATTCAAAGTCAGAGAAAACACTATATCTAGAAGTTGCCTATTTCCTTTTTATTTTGTTCTCGTTGTTCCTTGAGTAATTTTTCTCCATGAGACATCTTCTAGGAGTATTTGTTAACAGACTAATAAACTTTAGACAGGTTTTCAGACTAGTTTACATTGTCTACTTCAGTTTTAAGATGTAATGGAACAATGGCCCTTTGTCAACCAGCAATTTTCACACCTTAAGTCCTTAGCCCTCCTAGCTGATAATTAATTTCACAGTTACAGCATAGCTCTATCAGCTTCCAATGAAAGAATTTAGATAAATCTAACATGAAGTGGGCATAAGGTAAAGCAATAGTAATCATTATTTCACAGGTGTTTTTTTTTTTCTATTTTCCCTGAGCCTTGTGAATTTATCTACATGACAATTTGAAAATGATGTTTGGGCCACAGTGACTTCTAGCCTGCTAAATACAGGAGGGGCCTGGGGACTTGCAGAGCTGGTAATGGGAAACCCGACTGAGCTAACATTTTGACACTGGCTCCTTCTCAGGAGAGGCAAACAGAGAAGAGGAATTGAAAGGAAGCTGTCACTAGGAAACCAAAAGGAAAAAAGAAAAAAAGAAATCTGCAGAGCACACAAAAGAGAGACCAAAAAAATAAAGGAGTTAATTAACAAAAAGGTGACATCCAAACACTTGCAAACACAAGTGGGAAGAACTATATCAAGGAGTAGGAAAGATTAAATAAGCAGGCAAGCTTGGAAAGTACTTTCCAATATTGCCAAAAATAAGGCTATCTCATAGACAGCACTGAGAACTGTCAAGGTAAGAATTGTCAGAAGACACTATACTACAAAACAGCATTAAAATGTTAGCTGTAAAATATGCATTGGTTTCTACAGACCTTTTCTTTAACCTAGACCCCCTTTTGCTAAGACCCAATTCTTTTTCTATATCTTGTCCTCTATATTAAAATTTCACCTCACACAATTATCAGCCCTAAAGAAAGAGCAGTATTAAAGACTTTTACCTCCAATTGCCTTAGCACAATCCTATTCTACAGAAGTTTCTCCTTAGAGAGACATCATTTGTTGGTGCACTTATGAGTGCTTCACATTGAATGGTCACAGTACTTTTGCAAGGTTGACAGGCTTATCGCTGTTCCAGAGAAAGAAGAGAATCAGAGGCTCTTAGAGGTTAATTAGCTTGTACTTTGTCTTGCAGATTGCAAGTGAAAGGACAGAAACTAAGAGAAGGAAAGTTTCCCTTTATTCTGACAATTTAAAATGCCCAATAAAGTGACATCCTGCTTCATGAGGTGGTGAAACTTCCCTCACCGAAGATGTTTTGGATGACAAAGCCTTGTCCGTGGTACTTTTGAGTAAATTTCTGTGTTTGTTAGGTGGCTGCAACAACTGATCTCTGAGGCTCTTCCAAACAGAAGATTTTTTTATTTCATAGAACACAACAATTAATTACTGCACTTTTACTTTTTCATTTCCAAGCCTGACTATGACTTATTTAATAAGGGGGGAAAGATACACTTGTTCTTCCTCCTAACTTACCCTTAAAATTAAGAAGCAGTTCAACCTAGCGACTAAAAACTAATCATATCAAAGGCAGAACAGAATAAAATTACCAAAAAAAAATATTATTATAATAATGTAAACACATGAACCTATTTCATGTATGCTGGTATTTTATTCACCTTGCCAATGTTTGGAATGCATTGTCAATGCCTTCTTTTTGTTTTTCTATAATTATAAAAATCAAACATCCTACTCTGTGGCAGGCACCATTCTGAGGGCTTTACCTATGTTAATTATTTATTCATCTTAACCTAATTATGCCAATTACATTATTATCCCCAGGACAAAGTACCATAAACTAGGTGGCTTATAAACAACAAAAATGTATTCTTCACAGATTTGGAGACTGGAATTCCAAGGTAAGACAGCCAGCTTGCTCAGGTTTTGGTGAGGACTCTCTTCTGGGTGGCAGGTGGCAACCTTTTCCTTGTGTTCTCACATAGCAGAAAACAGTGAATAAGCTTTCTGAGGTTTGTTTTATAAGGGTGCTAATTCCATTCTTGAAGGCTCCACGCTCATGGTCTAATTACCTTCCAAGAGTCTTCCATCAAATACCATCGCATTGGCGATTAGACTTCAACTTGTGAGTTTAGGAGGATGCAAATATTCAGCCCACAGCAGCCAGTTTATGTGAAGAGTCTATACTCAACTATGACATCAGGGTTTCTAAAATGTCTTCAAGCATCACGGAGTCACCTGGAGAGCTTTCTCAAAATTCAGAGTGCTGGGCCCCAACCCCAGAGTTCAGATTTAGCAGGTTCTGAATGGAAATCAAAATTGCGTTTCCCAAGCACTGTTGCTGCCACTGATCCAGGGGCCACACTCGAAGATCTACTGCCTTAGGATACTGCCTCTTTTACTTCATTTCTCCCATAGTCCCTTAAAGGGCAAAAAGGAGCCACTAGTTGCAAAAACAACTGAAACTAGAGAGAAAAGGTCTGCAGTAGCAGGGAAAACAGTCAAATACTGAACTAAGCTTCCATGGGAAGTTCTAAAACTGTTTTGCTTAAAAGGGTGAAGAGTGGTCTTCAAAAATATAATAGATTTTCACCCATGTGTTGTTGTCCTGGAGCACTATATGCAGGGAAAATGTGATAGATTGACTGGATGAGTCTTCGAAATTTCCTTGTACTGCATGGAACTGGAGTGAAACCATAGCCTAAGACTCGATAGAACAAATATTTTCCACAAAGCATTCTGATTGGGAACAAACTGAGTCCGTGAGTGAGAGCCAAGGGTCAAAATCAGGAAGTCGGACTCAGCTATTAATTTCAAGGGCAAGCCAGTTTAAAATGTGTGATAAATCCACATGTTCAGAAACGTAAAATCAAAACAACAGAAAAAGTGGAAGCTAAGTAAGAGTGAGAGGTAATTGCTATAAAAAGAGTTGAAGACGGGGCAATTTACTCATTCTGGCTATCTACGCTATGGTGTTGGGGTGGGTTTTTGGTACAGTGGGCAGGTCCGAAGTGAGATTCATCTTTCCTGTCATAATTATATCATAAAGTATCACAATACCCAAGAAAACCCACTGGTGTATTGGAACAAGGGAGACCAGAACAAATCCCTCAGAGAGAAAGTTGTTTTAATTCAATCCAACTGAAAAAACACTAAAATAATAAATGTTATACCTTGCTACTGAAATTTATCACATTTAAAGCACATGCAAGCTGCTTTTCTTCTTTGCTGTTTATATAGCTTAGTATATCCGCTCTATCACTCCCAGATCCTTAGATTGCAAGCTTGTCAAAGCACTGTGGGATTAGAGTGATAGGGGCTATAGGCTCACATACAGAGGCAGATGGATTAAGAACACCTGTCTTTTCAAGGAACCACAGATTTGACAAAAATGTAAACACATCATGACTTCCTGAAGAGTATAAGAAAGAGGTTAGTAAAATTAAAGTGAACCAAACCAGTCCTCTAATTTCTTTGTTATACTTAACAGTTAAATAGATTAGTCACAAAATATATAATTAATATACACTCACACACATATATACATGAATATATATAAATGTATATAATATGAAAGACATCAGAAATTTTCAACTCTAGTGCAATCAATTGAACATATATTTTGTTGACAGAATAATAGAAAGATCAAAGTAATATAAATTATTTTTTCTTCTTTTTTGAGACAGAGTCTCACTCTGTTGCCCAGGCTGGAGTGCAGTGGCACAATCTTGCCTCACTACAACCTCCACCTCCCGGGTTCAGGTGATTCTCATGCCTCAGCCTCCTAAGTAGCTGGGACTACAGGTGTACGCCACCACACCAGGCTAATTTTTGTATTTTTAGTAGAGGAAGGGTTTCACCATGTTGTCCAGGCTCCTGGTCTCCCACTCCTGGCCTCAAGTGATTTGCCCACCTCGGCCTCCCAAAGTGCTGGTATTACAGTCATGAGCCATCATGCCCAGCCAGAAAATGAAATATTGTCTAAAAGGAAAAATTACATTCACAAATAAGGCTTAGGTTTTCTTTTCTAAAGATACCTGAAGAAAAACTACAAATTTTATTTACTGGGATTGCATTTAGTAAGCACCTGCTCTATTCCTGAAATTGATGCAAGCTGGGAACAAAGACAATTCAAGGACCATGTTCTGTAGTGGGGGAGAGAGAAAACACAACTACAAACTATAGTGTGATATGTTTTATAATAGATATCTTCAGAGGACATTTAAAAGTAGAGAAGGAACACCTAAGCCAGGAGGGGATGGGGAAAGCTTCTTAGAGGGCATGACACTTGTCAACAGGAAGAAAAAGAGGGAAAGTCACTTCAGACAGAGGGGCCAGGTTTAAGACATGGAGACTGTCAGAGCTTGGCTAGTCTTCATATTGCACAAGGAGCTGTGGACTATGGAACAGGAACCGGCGCTCCATAAACTTAGAATCTCATATTCAAGTTAATAAAAACAAAGTTGAGTGTCTTTTTAGTTAACTAAACTTTTAATTTCAATGAATTTACATGACTTTCATATGCAAATGTGGACGAGATATACTCTGGAGGAGCTATAGTATGCAGTGTTCCTAAGATTTATCAGGTCTTTGCAAAAAGTTCCTTTTTGTTTTTTTTCTTTTTCTTCTTGAGCATCTCTCAGTTCCAGTTACTACAAATGATACCCTGGGGAGAACTTGAATTCGATAATCCCTTAGAAAGGTGAATGCTCTTAAACTGAGCAGAGGGCCTAGAAGGAGCACTGGGCTGGTCATTGGAATGGCTGGATTCTAGTCTGCAAATAAACTGCCAATATCAAATGCAAGGCCCTAGACTTCCTTTTTCTGAACTGTTTCATCACTAAAAACTGAGCAATTTCTAAAGTCTTTTCTAATGATTGTAGCACTAGGAAAGCCTCTACTTTGCTGTACAATCATTTCCAGGCATTTTAACAACCTTCTCTGACAAAAAGTCCTCCTTACTGAATAGTTGACAAGGTTGTATTAATATCAAATTTGCTATTGAACTTAAGGCATACTTTTATTGTGGTGGGATTTAAATACTTTTTGAGAGGTGTCACTCTAATTTATGATTTTTTCAGACATTAGTCAATTTTATATAAAATGTCTAACAAATTTGGCCAGTTTTTAGCTTTTGAGCCAAATTATGACACCAGGTACAATATAACTATTAGCTGTTCTCAAGGACAATTTTAAATGAGATGTCACATTGAAGTAATGTTATGCCTCTGGGAAGAAGAGCCTATTTTAATAACAGAATAGAATAAAAACTCATTCACAGTGAGAAGAATGCCATCTTATTCTAATATCTTAGACACTTTTTATTTTCAATGCTTTACTTACAGCATGCACTGGGGAAATAACCTAACTCCTGCACTCCTAGCACATGGATCTGTAAATCAGCACAATATATAACTAACAGCATACACAATTTGAAGCAAAACAAGAATGTTGATTGAGTGGCCAGTGCACCTTTTCATTTAAAGCAGGATTTTTTAACCTCAGCGCTATTGACATCTAGAACTAGATAATGCTTTTTTGGCGGGATGGATGGGGGTCTTAATTATCTCTATCTTCTATGTGCTAGTAACACCTCCCCAGTTGTGAATAGCAAAAATGTCTCCAGACATTCCCCAGTGACTCCTGGGGAACAAAACTACCCTTAGTTGACAACCACTGATGTGAAGTATATACATTACATCTAGCTCATATAATATCTGTCTCTCTCTCTCACACACACACACACACACACACCCTATCTCTCTCCTCTCTGTTATGTATGTTTAGTAAACATGCATGGGTATTTTATTATAGATTCTTATAAATATTTTTACTGATTTTTTTAACATAGAGAAGGGGTCTCACTATGCTGCCCTGGCTGGTCTCAAACTCCTAAGCTCAAGCAATCCATTTGTTTTGGCCTCCCAAAGTGCTGAGATTTCAGGTGTGAGCCACAGTGCCCAGCCTACTGTGTTTTATTAGTTAAAATCTTCTATCTAGCTGGTCCCAGTGGTTCACACCTGTAATCTCAGAACCTTGGGAGGCTGAGGCAGGTGGATCGCCTGTGGTCAGCAGTTTGAGACCAGCCTGGCCAACATGGTGAAACTCTGTCTCTACTAAAAATACAAAAAATTAGCTGGGCATGGTGGCAGGTGCCTGTAATCCCAGCTACTTGGGAGGGTGAGGGAGGAGAATCACTTAAACCCGGGAGGCAGAGGTTGCAGGGAGCCGAGATTGCACCACTGCTGCACTCCAGCCTGGGCAACAAGAGCGAAACTCCGTCTGAAAATAAACAAAACAAAACAATCTTCTATGTGAGGGGACATTTCCACATTACAGTCAAAAATATTTTCATGATAGAGATGAAAGGAGATTGTATTATTTATTTCTGCTCGACCACATTGAATCCAGATGTTAAGATAAAGCTGCCTTTCCCAAGTGTCCTTCCAACCTCTGAACATTTCAGTGATGGGGGAGTTGCCACCTGATGAAGTGGCAAGAGCTCTGTCTTCTGGAGAGCTAAGGCATGTTTACACATCACTTCAAATGAGGACTTCTGGAGATGTACTGTGACCTGCTGCTACCACTTTTTAAACATGTTCACTTTTGTGTTCTGTTTTCAACTATACCTGTCAGAGTAGTTCAACTCTCTACTAAAAACAATACAAAGATTTGACCCTTGTTGACTGCAATGTTTCTTAACTGCTTTAATTGACTTCCTTCTTTTTACTTCTTATTCATCTACACACATGTCCACTTTATCTTTTCCTGATGATATCATTTTTATCTCTGCTAAAAAGCTCCTAAATGTTTCCCTCACTCTTCAAAGAGAATCTTGAACTTTATTCAGAGGGTAATCTGAGAGAGGCTTCTATGAGTCCAGTAAGATCCAAGTATATCCTTTTCCAACTCTCCAGCCCACATCATGAAGCCAGTGTCCTTTCTTCTTTCCTACTTGTCTTAACATTTGTTTCTCCCCCTTTGTCTTGGTCACTCAGAGTCCTCCACTGTAACATCCATTCTGATGCTCAATCTATCCTTACAAACTGTGCTGACCAGAAATGTAAACCCATCTACCTCATAAATATTTTCAATACTACAGTCCATTATGTCTCATTTCTCATTTTACTTCAGCATCCATTGTAACTTTATGCCTTTATTTTCTTTATGTGGAATTCTTGTCCCTCACATTCTCTCCCCACTTGCATTCCCCTCTACACAGCTGGTACACAATAGTTGCAGACTCACCACTGCTTGATTTAAATAACCATACGATTTCAATGTCTAGATCTGATAGAAGTCACAGAGAACAGCATTGGTTTTTCTCCAAAACCAGAAGTGGAAAATTACAACTTGAACTCAGTTGTTATTTTTAAGGCCCCTTTGAGAAAGTGTTATAATGAATTCTGTTCATTCATGTGTACAAACTTACATAGCTGTTGCTTTATCAACATAAGCATATGTTGAAATATAGATTGCATTGTTTATTTATATGTACATTTGTTTGGGGCTTTTGAAAAAATGGCATTATACAGTTCAACCATTAGCTTGCTATATGACCTTGCGCTAGTCCTTTAAACTATCTGGACTTTCATTTCTTTATTTGTGGGGGAAAAGGTGATTATAAGATTCCTGGAACAACTTTAAACTAGGAAGTTGTACTTCTTCAGTAAGCAGTGATTGCCTTCTATTCATCCTTTCTCTTCTTTCTGGAAAACAGAATTCTAGGTTTGTTTAAGTATTGACTCCTTATCTCTGTAACTCAGAGGCGATGGCCCAGGCCCAGCTTAGCAGTTTATACTGACTGTTCTAAGCAATTATAATGCTCAACTTTTCTTTATGTATCCATCAATAGGCATATAACCCTGGGAGGAAGACTGCTGAGAGCCTTCTGATACGGTTAAATCATTTCTGAAACAAAATCCCACAAAAGAGAATAGTCCTTTTTTCCCATGAATATCCGACTTCCAGACTGAGCGCTTGGATCATTGGTAGCTTTCCTAAGACAGGGAGGAGGACTTCCATAAGGGAAAAAAATCACACATCACTGATGGCAGAGAATAGCAAAGGAAGGAAGTTGACATAAATGAGCTGCTGCATCAACACACAGTGAAAGCTGCCTGTGGCTGGTGCTGCTAGTTCTCTCCTGCCTCTTAGTATCTGCTCTCCCTTCTTCCGTTTAGTAACAAATTTCACTTCCATTTTATTAGGCCAAACATTTTCTCAGCCAGACATGGCCTTGAGAATGAGTCCTTGGAAACAGAATGTGAATAGAACTGGCGTGATCTTCAACTGTCATATTACCTCCTCTTTAAAAGGAAATTGCCTGTTTTGTACTTCTTGATACCTTCACCTACGGGCTGGAACATATATATATGTACATATATATATGTATACATATATACACACACATATGTATACATATATATACACACACGTATACATACACACACACATATATGTATACATACACACATATATGTATACATACACACATATATGTATACATACACACATATATGTATACATACATATACACACATATGTATACATACATATACACACATATGTATACATACATATACACACATATGCATACATACACATACACATATGTATACATACATACACACACATATGTATACATACACATACACACATATGTATACATACACATACACACATATGTATACATACACATGCACACATATATGTATGCATGCACATACACACATATATGTATGCATGCACATACACACGTACATATGCATGCATATACACACGTACATATGTATGCATATACACACGTACATATGTATGCATATACACACGTACATATGTATGCATATACACGTACATATGTATGCATATACACACGTACATATATATGCATATACACGTACATATGTATGCATATAGACACGTACATATGTATGCATATAGACACGTACATATGTATGCATATAGACACGTACATATGTATGCATATAGACACGTATATATGTATGCGTGTATATATGTATACATATATACACACATATATGTATATATGTATATATGTGTATATATATATACACACACGTGTATATATATATATAGTTCTCTCTCTATATATAGCTAGTAAGCCAGAAATGAGCAAAGGAATGATGATAACATCATAGGATCTTGGAGTAACAGAAGGAATTTTTGGGGGAATGACCTCATAGAGCAGAGCCTTTTTTTTTTTTTTTTTTTGAGACAGAGTCTCACTCTGTCCAACCAGGCTGGCATGCAATGGTGCAGTCTTGGCTCACTGCAACCTCCGCCTCCTGGGTTCAAGTGATTCTCCCGCCTCAACCTCCTGAGTAGCTGGGACTACAGGCACGTGCCACCACACCCGGCTAATTTTTGTATTTTTCGTAGAGACGGGGTTTCACCATGTTGGCCAGACTGGTCTCAAACTCCTTACCTCATGATCCACCCACCTTGGCCTCTCAAAGTGCTGGGATTACAGGCGTGAGCCACCACACCCGGGCAGAGCAGAGCCACTTACCTGCCCTCAAAGGCCCATTGAAAAGGAGCGCTCTTACTTTAACTACTATATTTTTGAATATTATTTTTCTAACAGCTTTATCTTTACCTACCTAATATGCCATGCTTCAGTCGGACTTCTTGATTTGTGAGGTAACATATTTCCCTTTTGTTTACTCAATTTGAGTAGTGAATTCCTGTTACAAGTTGCCAAAATCTTTCTAAATGGTACAGCCAAATTTCACATCTGTGGCCTGTGTGTGAACAAAGCAAAAAAGCTTTCGCAGGACAACTAGTGGAAATTTATGTCCAAAAGGCATTTCAAGGTGGATTTAATCCAAATATGCTCAAGAATTGAAAAAAAAAATCATTGGGCTCACATTTTGAGATTTTCCAACTGTTTGTATGCCTTCATGAATAATGGAAATCAAAATAATGAGTATCTGTAAATGTAGTAGAAAATCTAGGAAGAATTTAGAAAAACTTAAACAATTCTTCAAAGGGGCCAGTGCTGTGGGAAAGTTATTATGATTCAGGATTGAAGATCCGGGGAGATTATAGGAGCCTTTTGAATCACTGATGAGACAACCCAATAAGACATATGAAATAACTAAACTAAAATTGTCAAGATAAAAGGTAACCAGCTCTTTTCAATGATAGAGGTGACTAGCCAGGTACAATCACCTGGTGTGATACGGAAAACAATCTCAGAAGCTCCCTTTCATCAGCAGAAAAATAAGATGGTTTCTAAGATGCTTTCTGGCTGTGATTGTCTAGTGCTCTATACAAGTGAGAGGTGCTTCCTTGCCCAACTTGTGCTGTTCCTTCAGCAAACAAAAAAATCAGCATTGATTATACCACAAAGTTGATTCTTACTCTTTGTGAAAAAAGTGTTTTCAGAAGTAATCTAATCTGTCCACGTGGCATACACTGAGATAGTTTCAGATGCACTATGTATGCAGAAAAAGAATTCAATTAGTTAAGAGCAGAGCCATGAATGAGTGATGATGTAGTTATTAAGTATCCTTATAGGTCTCATGTACAGCATTATAGGAAGAAAAGAAAATTCCTGATGATCAGCTGAAACAATGTTGGAAAACTGTGAGACATAAAATGATGTCGCACTAAGAAAACACTCCCCTACTCTCCCCACACAAGCAACCTAATTCCGCTGTAAATGCCCACAGTCTAACTTCTTAATCTGATGAGTCATACGATTCCAGAAAGGAAAGAACTGCAACTTATTTTTGCTGTAAGTTTTCCACTTAAACATTTGGGAAACAATAATGCATATAACATCCCAAATCCAATAACTCTGAGCATTATCATGCTCCTCCTATTCAAAATTTTTAATATTAAAAGTGGCAAATATCAGAGTGCCAGGTATGTTACAGATACATCCCTGTGTTTTACATGTATTATCTAATGCCACTGATTTAAAGGCTTTTTTTGGTAACTGCTGTTAAGACAGTTATCACAGTCTTTATTTTATTATTATTATTTTGAGACAGAGTCTCACTCTATCACTCAGGCTGGAGTACACTGGCAGGATCTTGACTCGACACAGCCTCAACCTCCCGAGCTCAATTGATCCTCCCACCTCAGCCTCCCAAGTAGCTGGGATTGCAAGCACACACCACCACACCTGGCTATATTTTATTTTCAGTTTTTGTAGAGACTTAATCTCACTATGTTTCCCAAGCTCGTCTCGAACTCTCAAGTTCAAGTGACACTGCCACCTCAGCCTCCCAAAGTGCTGGGATTCACATGCATGAACCACCACACCCAGCCTAATACCACTGTTAATATCCTTATTTAATATATAAAGGAAATGACTTCCAAACAGTTTGAAAAATCTTCCCACAATTATACAGTACATAAGTGATGATTTAGAAGTCAAATCCAGATAAACTATCTTCAAAGCATTAGCTTTTAACTTGACCCTACCAGATAATGGATATTATACACTAATTATTAAATGTCAGCAACAAACCAGGGGATACAACATTACTGCATGAGCATTTACTTATGTTAAATAAAAAGAGAAAATAATATCACCTTATGATTAACAGTGCTGTAATAAATGGCCTACTAAAGTAAGGTGAAAAGAGATAGTACAAAATATTAACAGCAGTTGTGTTAAGATATTATGGATTATTTCCTATGTATTGCTCTGGTTTTCCACAATAAGCATATACCAATTTTTGTATTTCAAAACAAATATAGATGTCACAAATTATAAATTGTTGCTGAGTAAAAAAATGTGAACCACACAAATATAACCCATCTCATGGAGAATAGATAATATAGTGGAAAATGGCAATTGTTAAACTTCTATGCCGTTCAACTGTTAAAAGAGGAAGGGAGGCTGGGCATGGTGGCTCACGCCTGTAATCCCAGCACTTTGGGAGGCCAAGGCGGGCAGATCACCAGAGGTCGGGAGTTCAAGATCAGCCTGACCAACATGGAGAAACCCCGTCTCTACTAAAAATACAAAATTAGCCAGGTGTGGTGGTGCATGCCTGTAATCCCGGCTACTCGGGAGCCTGAGGCAGGAGAATTGCTTGAGCCCGGGAGGCGGAGGTTGCAGTGAGCTGAGGTATCCCCGTTGTACTCCAGCCCGGGCAATAAGGGCGAAACTCTGACTCAAAAAAAAAGAGGAAGTGAAATAATGAGATAAAATTAGGACAAAATGAAAAGAAAAAAAATCAGAGTTATTCAACACATCTCATTAGTTTGTTTTTGTTTTGTTTTTGTAAAGAACCTATGAAGTTCAGGGAAGAGGAAAATTCATAAAATTTGATGATATGCAAAAATAATTAAAGAAATGATGATCAGAAAGGGAAGAGTAAGCCACCAATGATAACTGCAGCATAATAAATGAGGTTATCCTAACCATCTCTCTACTGAAATGTATTAGAATTTTTTTAGTTTTTATTTTTATTTCAATAGTTTTTGGGGTACAAGTGGTTTTTGGTTACATAAATAAGTTATTTAGTGGTGATTTCTGATATTGTAGTGTATCCACCACCCAAGCAGTGTATACTATACCCAATAGGTAGTCTTTTATCCCTCATTCTCCTCCCACCCTTTCCCAGAGTCCCCAAAGTCAGATATTGAAATATATTAGAATTTAACAAACTCCAGCCAGATGCAGTGGCTTACACCTGTAATCCCAACACTTTGGGAAGCCAAGATGGGCGGATCATTTGAGGCCAAGAGTTCAAGACCAGCCTGGGCAACATGGTGAAACTCTGTCTCTATTAAAAATATAAAAATTAGCCCAGGGTGGTGGCGAGTGCCTATAGTCCCAGCTACTCTAGAGGCTGAGCCAGGAAGATCACTTGAACCCAGAAGGTGGAGGTTGCATGAGCTGAGACCACACCACTGCATTCCAGCCTGGGTGACAGAGTGAGACTCTGCCAAAAAAATAAAAAATAAAATAAAAATTAAAAAATAAATAAATAACAAACTCCATCATCTTAAAAGATTTGTAGATCTGAAAAGATATTAATTAAGGTGAAATACTAGAGCACACCAATTGGCATCAACCAATATCATACTCTCAGGCTTTGTTGTGCCATCCTTGCAGGGTAAGAAATACCAAACCCAAGACTAGCCTCACCAAAGGTGAGAGTCTTATAGAATACCCTCCCTTACATTAAGTTGGAATTCCAGGAATGAGCAAATATAAATATGACTTATCTTTCTGTTTAAAAAATAAGCAATGAGAATAATATTTGGTCCTGATGCTAGCATGAGAAGGGAGAAGAAAGGACAAAATGTTCTTGAGAAGTTTTGCCAGCGTTTGACTTTTTGTTGGTTTATGTATAATCTAGGTGGGCCAGAGAATCTCAATTCACAAACTAATTTTAGGTAGTCCCAAAGGGCAGTCTCCCCAGACATCTAGCAAAATTAAACACTCATCTCTTTGTAAAAAGGCATATTAATTCCAGGCCTCAGGAAACAGGCACAAATTTCAAAGGAAAGGAACAGCACACAAAGATAACTGCCACAAAATGAAATAAGACAATATGAGTGAGCCTAGGAGAAAATATAGAGAACAGAAAAAGACATACACTGAATTTAAAATATTGAAAACATTGGATCAGTCTTATAAAACAAAAGAAAACATGCCAACTATGTAAATAAGCAAAATAAGATTGAACATAGGATCAGGGAGAGGAAAATATAAGGTTCCATAGCAAATAAAAATTCTAGAAATGAAAAAAGTCAAATTTAATAACTCAATGAACACATTTGATGGTAAATTAAACAAAGCAGAAAAGGTAATTAGTGAACTGGAGTATATGTAAGTCAAGAATTCAGTTCAGAAAGACAAGACATAGTAAACATAAGGAAAAGTTAAGTGATATATAAAATAGAGTAAAAGAAGTTGAATATTTCTAAAAGGAAAAGAACAGGTAAAGATAAGGTCAGAAGAAATATTGAAAAGATTACAACTGACAATTTTCGAGACCTAAAAGTCATTGATTATCAGTTTTAAGAAACACGGAATTTTCTGAGAAGGACAACTCCAAATAAATCCACAATTTGATACATCATAATAAACCAGAATAAAAAGCAGAAAAAAGAAAACTTTAAGAGGAACAAGAGAAAAATGAAACACTACTTTCAAAGAAACAAAAGTTTGACACCTAAGCTCTCAACAGGATAAAACGAAAACCTGAGAAAGTGGAATGACATTTTTAATGTAAAAAAAAACACAGAAAGCAAAACACAAGTGCCTACTCAGAATTTAATTATCAGTAAAAATATTCTTCAATAATAATGGGGAAATAAGGACATTTCAGACATACATACAAAAAAGTATTTTCCATCCTCACACCTACATTAAAAGTAATTCTAAATGCTTCAGTCAAACAGAAAATGACTCCAGATAGAAAAAGTTGCAGAACAGAACGAAGATCAGAAAATTAAGATGTATAACAATAAACATTGAGTGTATACAGCAAAAAATACATACTTTTTTGAAATATAGGCCAGGTGCAGTGGCTCATGTCTGTAATCCCAGCATTTTGGGAGGCCTAGGCAGGTGGATCACCTGAGATCAGGAGTTTGAGACCACCCTGTCCAACATGGTGAAATTCTGTCTCTACTAAAAACACAAAAATTAGCTGGGCATGGTGGCATGCGCCTATAATCCCAGCTACTCAGGATGCTGAGGCAGGATAATTGCTTGAACCTGGGAGGCGGTGGTTGCAAGTGAGCCAAGATTGCGCCACTGCACTCCAGCCTGGGCAGAACGAGACTCTGTCTCAAGAAAAAAAAAAAAAAACAAATTTTGAAATGTAAATGTGTAAGAATTAAAACAACAAGTGCAAGACTATATAATTTAGGAGGATTAGGAGGAGAGTAAAAGATTTAAATTTTGCAAAGTTTTTGTGCTATTCGAAAGGAAAATAATGGCCTTGACTGACATTAGAATTTGATAAGTTAAGGACACATATTTAATGGTTAGTTGTAAAGTTTAGCCATAAAGTTTCAGAATTAGAGAACCTCATTACCACATTAGTAAAGAAGAAGACTGGTTAAAGCCATTCTCAGTCAAAATCAGATGAGGGAGAGAGGATGGGGAGAGAGAAAGAGAAACTTGGAATAGACAAGATAATTAGAAAGCACTCCAAATAAATCAATACTTATATTAACTATAAACACACAAGCTCCACTGATTAAAGGTCAGAGAATGATGATAGAAAAAAGACATACCAAGTAAACAAAAACAAAGCATTCATCACCATCAGAACTTCATTAAAGGAAACTAGTTCTTCAAGCAGAAAAAAAGGCTCCAGATAAGAGGTCTGAGACACAAGAAGAAATAAATGCTAGTAAATGTAAGCAAACGTTAAATATATAAAAGAGTAATAACAAACTGGAAATTAATTGACTAAGCAAAGAAACAAAGATAATTACTTAAAATAATAGACTGTAGAAATGGTGTTAAAGTGTTCCAACCCCCATGATATTAGGTAGGAGGAATTGTTCCCACATCTTCCATTTCTCGCATTTTCAGGTGAGGATTCATTACATAACTTGTGCCTTTGTTTATGCCACTCCCTCAACCTGGTTATTTGTTCTTCCTTATTATCTTCAATTAACATATTAACTCAAAATTTTACCCAGGTGGCGTATCCTTCTAAATTGTCCAAAATGACCCTCTTCCTCACTCTGATAACCCTGTGTTAAATTCTGCCTTAATATGGATTGCTTCTGTCTTACATTGTTTGCAGCGACTATTTTGAATTCATCTTAATATTGGTTAAGATGCTTAACATTTTTAATTATGAGCAAATATATCCATATACAAATGAGTTCATGTACATGCACAAATAAATCCTTGATTCAAATATATTTCAGTAGCATAAATGTGTATCACTGATGCCTGCTAGGGGCTTTATTGTTGTTTCATCAGATAAATTTACACAGCTCAAGTATTTATACTTAAATACATTACCCAAATCTTTTATTAGCTATGTGCAAAAAATAGCAGGCAATATTATAGTATTGACATCGTTTCTGTACAGGGGTTCTAAGAACAAACACATTTAATGGCTTCAAAAAATGCAAATCGGGAAATATACAAAAGCTGAAACCTGCTGTACTCTAAGCTCTTTGGAGCTCAAAAGAATGTTTTAGCTTAGATTTGGTTTCCAATGAGTACTTAGGCTAGCTTTATGTAATTCAATGTCCTTACTTATTTCTAATGGAAATTTAGAAAACTTTTGATTTTGCCTGTGTTATGTCTTAATCTTTTTAACTCTTGAACAGGGGCTATAAAGAACAAAAAGAACACTAATATCTCAAAATCATAACCTGAAGTTCTACCTATAAGTCAAATGTAATTATTCAAATACCGAATCCCACCCAACTGATGAGGTCATATGGGGTAATACACCTGATTGTTTCAATCAACTCCTTAAAGGATTCTTAATGAAAATTAACCAATGAAAGAGTAACTTAAGGATCTCCTGCAGGATTTATTCAAGAATGAGTTCCTAGAAGTCTGTAGTCTTTGAAATGGAGAGGCTGACTAAAGAAGGGGGCCTATTAAGGTAAAAATAATTATGAAGGTAATTGGCAAAAGAGAAGCTAAATTATAAACACCAAATCAGTAGAATACAAAGCAACTGAAGCTTAAGAACAGATCATGAAATAATATTTTCTTTTTACTTCCTTAGAAGTCTTGCCTGTGTGAACCACTCCTTGGTACAGTCACTGGAAAAAGTTTTTAGGGGTTTCAAATATTAATTGAGTTATTACTTAGCTCAAAAATATATATAACACAGTACACTTAGCACTACAAGATAATGATTCAAGATGATTCTCCTACGAATAGTTTTCCTTCAAATTGAACCTTTAATACTTACAATAAGTATTTCATTTGTAAATTGCTACTTCTCTAGAAATGACCTATTAAAATACGTCTTGAGGCCAGACGCAGTGGCTCATGCCTGTAATCTCAGCACTTTGGGAGGCCGAGGCAAGCGGATCACGAGGTCAGGAGATCAAGACCATCCTGGCTAACACGGTGAAACCCCGTCTCTACTTAAAATACAAAAAATTAGCCGGGCGCGGTGGCGGGCGCCTGCAGTCCCAGCTACTCGGGAGGCTGAGGCAAGAGAATGGCGTGAACCCGGGAGGCGGAGCTTGCAGTGAGCGGAGATCGCGCCACTGCACTCCAGCCTGGGAGACAGAGCGAGACTCCGTCTCAAAAACAAACAAACAAACAAACAAAAGTCCTGAACCTCTTCCAAATTACTTAACCTATGCTGAGTCATCAGGAAAACCTAACCTGTTGAGACATAGTGAGGTTTTGAATAAATCAGTGTAGAAAATGTTTATTTTATTTTTAAATTTTTATCCCGTGTTCTACCTGCCACGTATGCCTGTAAAAGAGAGAATTGCCTAAGAAAAAGGAGAGTGACTGCTATCACATATCTCCCTGATCAATATTCTAAATTTTTCAAAATGACACACAGAAAAATAAAAATAATAAATATTAACATTGGTAGGATTATCTTTTAATAACTCATCATAAGTATTATTTTAAAATCAGACTCTTACTGGATTCTAATTATCTATTCAATCATCTTATCATCTCTCTCCAAATTACTTTTTGAAATTTTTTGCCATAAATTCTATCATGCCTTTTTCACAGTAAGTGGTGAAAAATTTATGTCTAGTAAGACTACTTTTGAAATTTCTTCTTTAAATACATGTAGTGACAACTAGGGAATTTGAGTTCATATATGGCTCAAAAGCAAAGAAATGTGAATTTGCTTCAAGGATGCAAAAACTGAAATAATCTAACTTATAATTAAATACGAATAGATCTTTCTCTAGACCAAAACACCACAATAATCTTAACATATATTTTTAATACACAAACCATGAAATGCTTAAAGGAAACAAATGCATTTTGAAATTTTCAAAGTCAAACTTTATACCCTTATATTCACAAATTCTGTGTTCTAAAACTTAATTTTCTTCCTTATATTTCAGGCTATAAGCTCCCACATGTGGTCCTGATGGTGTTGTTCATGACATTGCTGATTATTCCATTGGTTACTGGGTAACAGCTAAATGCTAAACATGACATTAACTGTTCCTAGGAATTTAGTAGAAACAATGATGCTCAAGCCAGATCTTAAGATTTATGTTCCTATCTTTTGAGGAACAAACCTACACAATGCTCACATCAAGAACAAAAACAGTCATAATTGTTACAACTATCATTTGTTCAGCCTTAATTACATACCAAATAACGTCATAAACTTTTCACAAACTTTTTCCAATTTAATATTTTTCCTTCCTTCTTTCCTTCTTTTCATCATTCTTCTTTTTTCCTTCTTTTCTGTCTTTCTTTCTTTTTTCTGCAACATGAATCTCAGACTATTAATCTAGAAGTCAATAAGAGCTCTCATGAAATTTACATTCTTTTGTAAGGAGTGGCATGTGACAGTAAACAGTAATCAGTATGCACATAAGTAAGATGATTTCAGATAGTGCAAAGGACTTTTAAATCAATACAAGTTGGAAATGTGAAATTTGCCAGCAATCATCTATTTGTGAAGGTGTATATAAGGGTGGGCTGGTTCTTCATGTAGGTTCGCCAAAGAATGGCTTTCTGAGAGCAAATTATCTGAAGTACATCCTATATCTGGCAACGAACAAAGGCATCTGGAGAAAGATATTTTTAGTAAGAAGGAACAGCAAATGAGAAGCTTCAAGGTGAGAATGAGCCTGACGTGTTGAGGGGGAACAAGACCAATGTGACAAGATCAATACGTTGGGAGCAATAGTTAGGAATGTATTGTAGAATTTTGATGACCGTAGAACAACGTTTACATATTACTTCCAAACTGATATGTAAATCTTTTAAATCAAATTACTATGGTTACTTCTGCACTTATTTAATATTTGTTAGAACATTCCTTACTTTTTAGTTTATAAAATTCATTCATAAATGTTGTCTCATTGGTCTTCACAAAAGACTTGTGAACAATCTCTAATGTGTAAACAGGAAAATTGAGTTTGAAAGACTAGCCAAAAATTTAGATGCTACTAAAGTTTAAACCAAGCACAAGAACCCAGGGTTTTGAACTTCATATGTTCTTTCCTTTGCACAAATCCCATCTTTTACTTTGAGTTCCAACTCAAAATACAAAGGCTATGAAAACATTTGTTTGCGATTGATTTAAAGCTCAGGGGAGTAAGATATAACAATCTATCAGTTTCACAAATATGAATATGCTTGTAACATTGATTCAAAACCAGATGATCAATATCACAAAATTCTTATCTACACAGATTGCACAACCAGTATAAATTATGGGTAAAAACTACCATTGGGATAAAATATTGTAGGAGTCTTTCTTTTGCACATATTGTAATTCAAAAAAGATGCCAGATTGCTTGGAACTTCAGGTATTGATGTTTTAACGAGTAGACTATTTTCTCTAGTGGAGCACATCCAATTAAATTTAGCATTCAGTCATTTGCTAAAGGGACAGTCTGCAGCTTCTAATTGATTCCACTTCTTCTTTGCTCCCCCCGCCCCCTCATTCCCATATGCCAGTTTGATGACTTGTTTGTTTTTCTAGGAAGTACTGAATATCTTCCGGGGATACCTATTCATAGAAGAGAAGTCAAGGGTCTACCATATTTAATATTTATCCTTTTGTTTTCTCAGATCTGCCTAGACTTTCCTTTTTATTTACTGTTATTCAGGTTTTAAAAATTTGAATTCCAGCCTTAATTTTATTCTTCATTCACTCATTTGGTCATTAATTCATCAAATACTTATTGAGTGCCTATAAAACATTGCATTAGGAATTAATGAACACCAGTGAATGACGCAAAAGTCTCCATCTTCCTGGAACTTTTATACATAGAGGTAAATTCTATGAGGTAAAAACCAGGCAATTATACAAAAGGGGCAGGAGGGGCATGATTATAGATATGGTGGTTATAAGGGCATCTATAGGGCAGTAACATTTGCACACGTGGGTAGCATTCCCACAAAGGGAAGCAAGATGGATAAAGACGTTGAGAAATAATATTCCAAATAGGTATTTCAGGAAAGGTAAATTGCTATGGAACAAATGAACTGAGTATGTCATAGCAATGACAAGAAGACCAGTGTTTCTGGAGAATAATAAGCAAATAAGAGCACAGTTGAGATTATGATCAGGGTGGGCAGAGAGATGGTGGAGATGGGCCTGCTACAGGCCAAGGTCTAGAAATTGGTTTTAGACTTAAAAATTATGTGGCCTGACAAAACCTTTATGCCACTTTTCTAAACTGAGGAAGTAAGAGCCGTGAGGGAACTCTGAGGTTTCAAATCCCAAAGTTGTAGTCTGATAAGCCTGCATAGATGAGGCATAAATAGTTTAGTCAAATGGCTCCTTGACGAAAGATTATTTTTCAGATTGTCCTGTGTCAGTTCCTTGGAAACCACAGACCACCTTAGCAAGATATTAACCAGAATCCACACGAAAATTTTCACACCTCTGTAATCCAAACATTCACAATAACTTTCTTATTCAACAATGTCAGAGGTTAGAATAAAAACAAATCATACACTAACAGTAAATACACTTGTTATTCATTCTCTTTATGCTTTTTGTTCAATTTTGCTTGCTTTTTATCAACATATATATATACATGGGATTGGAGGGTCTTTTAAGTAAATTTACCTCAGCCAAGTTAATTCTCTTCAAGCCTAAAAATGAAGAGAAAAATAATATGCGTTGGAAGGCGTGGGGGCGCTAAGTGAGGCAGACTCTCAAAAACCCCAGGTGGGACACAAAAAAGCAGATTTTGTAGACCGCACCACTTCCGGAGTCTGATGTGTTTTGAAAGTGTCCCACAAAGCAGTTTAATACAATCCATCAGTGGTATAATTACAGCATAATCTACAGCACAATAAAATAAACCTATAAACCTTAATCCATTTCCATACAAATATCCTTACTGATGAAATCAGGAATGATGAATAAGAACAATGTACAATGGCAGGCTCTGCTCAAAAAAGGCTTCAGTTCTACACAAGTTCTCCACAGGTCTCTCAAATATTATGCCATTTATGCAATTACAATCAGCTACTATTCTTAGGGGTTAAAGGCCTCTGCAAAATAAATGGAGATACTGCTTCAGAAAAGACTGCTCAATCAATCTAGAAATGTTTCTGCTTGTTCATGAGGATGACATACTCTAATCTGTATAGCAGACAGCGGAGTTTCATTAAAAATCATGATTTCACAGCTCATTACGTGATTGTCACATGAATACATCTTGCCCCAATCTTGATGGGCTGAGCTTTGTATTTCTTCTGGGTAGTAACCACTACATCCTACTAGAAAAGGGAAGCAGAACCAGCCTCTGGTGGTAGTTTTGAGAAGAGTGATTGGGAATATTGTAAAGAATTTAAATCTTCTGATCAAAATGGTACTCCCTTCAGGAAATAATAGCACCTAAAGGCAGGACCAAGAGTGGTGGGTGAGTGGCTGCATAGAATAAGAGAAAAACCAATACAAACCATGAGGGCCTAGGTCTTGATTGACGCTGAATCTGTCGTGAATATCATTTGAAATCAGCACATGTCTCCTTGGAAGGATGAGGCTTCCCATCTCCACCCCCAATCAGGGTATAATCTCACATACACTAGCTTATAAGTAAAAATATTTCCCTTCATTTGGAGGTCAACAGTCAATAAAAATGCCCACGTATGTTTTCTAACATGGAGTGGCTTCACACGGAAGGCATTTTCGTCCCTGACAAGTTACATATGTGGTAGCTGCCCAGTTCCTGCTTAATTAGACAAGATTACATGGAGTGAGGACACCTGCAACAGATCTGCTGCAAGAAAACCCAGACAGTTTAGGAATGTCTGAGATTGTCTATAGCTGGGGAAACAGTATGAAAGAACAGTCTCACTATGAGGCAAGAGTTACAGAGAGAGAGTAAATGATGTTTTGTTAAGTAGGAATAAACAAAGGCAGGATGGAACGTAATACAAAAAAATGAAGGCAAGCAAGGCATTCGGATCGGAGACTGCATTTCCCTCTAGATGCTACCTAGACTGACAGAGCCAGCTGCTGAAGGAGATACTGTAGAACGTGTCCACAATTGGAACATAATTTAAAACATAAAGCAAATTCCTGTTGTGAGAGTGGCGCTCACAGCATTTGCTAAGTGTCCAAAACAGGGCAAGAATATACATTTCCCACCCAAATGAAGCCAGAGCTGCATCTCGCAGTCTGATGTGGGAAGGGAATACCCACGCCCAGAAATGAAGGTCAAGGACTTGAGGTCTACCTCTGTGACGTGTGGATTATTGTAAGCATTTTGATAACCTCTCTTTATCTTTAATAATTGCTTGGATACCTGAAGGACTATTTTGCTGTGTCATACCCATAATTTCAAGGACATTCTCTCCCATCTTGCTTATCTACATAGAACTCAACCTCCCCTTTAAGATTCAGGCATTAGCGCTTTCCTCCCACCTTGACTTTCATGGGGCGGGATGTGAATCGCTTTTAGCTTGGGTTCTTTTTTTACAATCTGTACATCTCAGATGCTCATATACGTTGGTGACTTCACCAAACAAATTGCTTGTTAGCTTGGCTTTTCTCTTCCTTATTTTTGTCTGCTCAGCAATTAGCATTGTTCTTGGAAGTTAGAGAATTCTAAGGAAATTTGTTAAATGTACTTTGAATTGGACCACATAATGCACACACTCATCACTTTTTAAATCCCATTTCTGACAGTCACAAGATTGCAAAAACCAAATTGCTTTTTTGATCAATGAGAGAGGCTCTGCTTCCTTCAGCAAATTTGTAACCCAATAATCCTGACCATTCACAGTTGGAGAGCATTCTACCACTATCTCTAACCCATGCTCACTGGGCGCATTCCCTGTCAACCTCACCTTAGTCTTCTCTTTATTCTCTTTCCCCTACAAAGGTCTCAGCAAGTAAGGGTGCTAAAACTGTCATGAAAAATAAAGTATTGCACTACATTCTCAAGGACTTTCTATTACTACGATATAATAAAGTCATTCTGTCTCCATCATGAAAGGCTGTTTTCTTTTAAGGATGTTTTCACAAATTTTAATGCAATTATTAACTCTTCAGGTTAAAAATATACTACGTAAGGCCAATAAAGGTGTTACATAAATTGAACAATTTATGTACTAAATAAGACCAATAAAGGTGTTAGGTACATAGGATAACATTGATAATAATACTGATATTAGTATAAATTTAAGCTTGTGAAATTATTCAGTTCATACGCAAAACAAAAACAAGAACAGATGTGGCCTAGTTGGTAAGAAAGACAGACTAGGTAAGTTTCCATTTTTCTAGGACCAGAGGCTCAAGATTTGCCTAGGAACAAGTTTGGTTATTAAGTTATTATATTATTTGAATTGCACATCTATAGAGACATTATGTGGCTGTATTTCTATACAGAATCTTTCATTCAAACTCTGAAGTCATACAAGTCCTAATGTCATTGAGGGATCACCTATGCTATAAGGATTCCAGACAGATACTTCTGTGACCATCCCTAAAATAAGGAGGTTGGCTAGATACAATCTAGTGTTTTCCAACCCTAACATTTTACAGTTCTCAACTATGGCACACAGTGTACTTAATTGAGATAGTAAAGAGTATTGTAATCAGCATCACCAGAAAGTTTTAATTATTATAATAGTGCCACCTGGAATGTCTCTTATCTGTGTTGTTTTAATTCTTACATGGAGGTCTGTGTTTTTTCTATAAATGGTATATTTTCCTTTATGGATGGATAAATATTACAAATAATGACCAATAACTTCAGAAGGCAACCATTAAAGGCACTTACAAAAAGGATTCTGCACTTGGAATTCCATCACATAAGCTATATTTATGGTTTCTGCATAATAAGGTAATGCAAAGTAGCCCACAACAATTCATGTCCTGGCATCTCTGCCACCATACTTTTCCTAAGGAGCAGAGCTATAGGAAAGTAAGAATGTCGTATTTCCGCAAAGAGTATTAATTATGCATTGCAGATTTATGCCCCAAATTCTCCTCTGTTTAAGTATGTGGATATCAAATTGAGTAATTCACATTTTACTATAGATTATTTGGGTAAATATATTATTTATTCTAAGTATATAAATTCTAAGTATATATATTCTATATATATTATATATAGAATATATGTATAAATAAATATATAGAATATATATAAATTCTAAGTATATAAAGTATATATATTCTAAGTATATAAAAGATTTCCTCAACACACAGCTAAAGTGGATTTAACATGTTCTCACTATAAATTCATGATCACATACACAGTCTCTCACACATTAAAAGACATGAATTGAGCACTGATTATAGGCCTGGCAAGGTAATAAGCTTAGCAGATACATCAGAAATCATAATGCTGTATCTTTGATCAAGGGACTTACAAGATATAAGGCAGACTTAATTGATATTTTTCTTTAAAGATACATTGTGTGTGTGTGTGCGCGCACTCACATGCATGCATGTACATGTGTTTCCTGAGGGTGCATCACTGTTGTGTAATGACAGAGTGAAAAGTTTTGCTGTCGTATGACTTGATGTTTGATCAATAACACCACTTTTAGCTAAATGTATTTTTCTTTTTCTTTTCTTTTTCTTTTTTTTTTTTTTTTTGAGTCAGGATCTCACTTTGTCACCCATGCTGGAGAGCTGTGGTGCAATCCTGGCTCACTGCAGCCTCCACCTCCCAGGATTAAGCAATTCTCCCACAGGTGCCCACCACCAGGCCCAGCTAATTTTCGTATTTTTTGTAGAGACAGGGTTTCACCATGTTCCCCAGGCTAGTCTGGAACTGCTGAGTTCAGGTGATCCACCGCTTTGGGCTTCCAAAGTGCTGGGACTACAGGCATGTGCCAGCATGCCTGACTTAAATGCCCTGTTCTTTTTTCTTTTTTTGAAACGGTCTCACTGTGTCCCCCAGGCTGGTATGCAGTGGCTCACTGCAACCCCCACCTCCCAGGTTCAAGCCATTCTCCTGCCTCAGCCTCCCCAGTAGCTGGGATTACAGGTGCATGCCACCACATCCAGCCAATTGTTGTATTTTTAGTAGAGATGGGGTTTCACCATGTTGGCCAGGCTGGTCTCGAACTCCTGACCTCAAGTGATCCTCCCACCTCGGCCTCCCAAAGTGCTGGGATTATAGGCGTGAGCCACCACGTCTGGCCTTTTTCTTAAGTAATCAACATTTGGAGCCTATACTACAAACAGAATATAAAGATGGCTAAATGGGATGGTTTTACACGTAAAAGATTTTTATATAATACTTGAGACATCACTATACCTAGGATGCAAACAAAACATTTTTTATTTAATAATATCCAATAATATCCCCAACATGTATGCATTTTCATTTTACCATCTTTTCTCAATCTTTAGAAAGTTCACATTTCAGCTCTAATGTGTTATTTATTCACAACTTATTGTTTGCTTGGGCAGAAATGACATTCTTGTTATTGATCAGCTAGGGTCACTAAAAACAGTTCCTCATGCCATATCAAAGTGTTGTTTATCCATCTAGGGAGCTTTATAACAATTGCCTAAAAATTGAAAAAAAAAAATATGAGTAATGACAGCTAGAATGCCAGCTGCCCATTTCTCACTACAAAACAGGCAGAATGCAGGATATCCAGGAATCTCACTCAAACAACAAAAGGACTAAAACTTGTCATGCTCAGCAGTTTACAATCTTTTTAATGAGACTGCTAATGCCTTTACCCAAGAGAAGACAACTTTTGATGAGGGCAACCTAAGATCTATTTAAAATCAATAACGTCTGTGACTTTACTCTTTGAATATGAAGTTTGTAAATGTAGAACAATTGCTGAAAGTTATATCAATTACACATGAATACAGAGAAGATGATGCACTGAATCTACCCCCCCCAATCCCTGAAACAACTCACTTGAGTGTGAAAGTCAATTTACATTTTTTTCTATTCTAGAAATAGAATTTTCATTTTGTGTCATATTCACAAAAAAACTCATATATAACTCAGCAGGGTACTCACATGTGCTTAGAAACAATATTAGGTATGGGAATTACCTTTTGTATCATAAAGACAAAATTACTCACTGAGAAATAAGATTTTAAAGGATCTTCAGGAAGCAAAGGAGAAAAAAAACTGATAGAGAATTTCATCCGAGACTGGAACTGTTGTACTGCTCATCCGCAGGCTTCTCATCCCTCCTGTATCAATTTTACATCTCTGCTTAGGTTCTCTTCTCTCCCAGGAGCACGAAAAGCTATTAGATTTTAATGAAGACATGTTGTGGAGGGAGCGGTGGGGTTACAAATATGAGTTCGAATCCTGCAAAGTGTTTCTCAGGAACAAAGGCATGGAAGATTTAGTTTAAAGGGATTATGAATGCAGGTGCAATTAAAGCAAAGCAAATTTACTTAATATGGTACCGTAAGCATATGCTGTTATTATAAAATCTTCAAAATTCTATTCTACTGATTGTGTAATATTTTATCAAGTAAAGATGCCATAGGCTACTTAACTAGTTCCCAATTAAAGACATTTATGTTTTCTTTTCTATTTTTTACTGTAGGGAAACATGCTGCAATAAGACTTGTACTTAATTGCTTCCCCTTTTCCCATATCCTTTCTGTATTCAGAATACTTTTCTTGGTTTATATTCACATAAGTATATTTATTAGGTCAATATTTGCTAATATTTTAAGCTCTTATTTATATTGCCAAGTTGCTTACCAAATGAATTTTAAAAATGTAGCTCTGTAAAAGAGTGGTTATTTCACCGTATTTTTGCAAGCAATGGCTATATTATAATTTTGCTGTAACATGACTGGTATTCACAGGTGGTGATATGGTGAAATGGAACCAAAGGTTAAAATTTTTCAATGACTCACCCATTTCTACTGAAATGTGGTCACAGTGGAGAAAAATCTTGTATGAGCTTCCAGCAAATTTCTAGGGCATATTTTTTTCATTATAATTTAACAATGAGGTAGAAAAGAAGGCCAAATGTCTAAAAGATCACTTGATCATTTGGGACTGTCTTTGCCTTTTTAACTTGTTTTCTAATCCAAGGAAGTATTATCAAAAGATTATTAGGAACTGAATACAATGTGGGAAGCATCTCTGAGTTTGTCAGGGATGCTTTAAAATATGTGTAGACTTAATTCAGAAAGAAACCTGAAAATCACTTTTATGTGAAGTTGTTATATGCCTACGCAGTGTTGTCTTTCACATATTCCCTAAAGAGTTATCAGATACAGACATGTTATTAGTGACAGCATGTGTCAATTCATTATAATAAAATACCTGCTTAAAAAATCAAAAGCACTCCTATATGCCAACAATAGACAAGCAGAGAGGAAAAACGTGAATGAACTCTGATTTACAATTGCTACAAAGAGAATAAAATACGTAGGAATACAGCTAACAAGAGAAGTGAAGCACCCCTTCAAAGAAAACTGCAAACCCCTGCTCAAGGAAACCACAGAGGAAACAAACAAATGGAAAAATATTTCATGCTCATGGATAGGAAGAATCAATATTGTGAAAATGGCCATACTGCCCGAAATAATTTATAGATTCAATGCTATTCCCATTAAATTACCATTGACATTCTTCACAGAATGAGAAAAAAACTATTTTAAAATTCATACGGAACCACAAAAGAGCACGTATAGCAAATATAATCCTAAGCAAAAAGAACAAAGCTAGAGGCATCACACCACCTGACTCCAAACTATACTACAAGGCTTTAGTGACCAAAACAGCATGGTATTGGTACAAAAGCAGACACACAGACCATTGGAGCAGAATAGGGAATTTAGAAATAAGACCACACACCTACAACCATCTGCTTTGAAAAACCTGACGAAAACAAGCAATAGGGAAAGGATTTCCTATTAATAAATGGTGCTGGGAGAACTGGCTAGGAATATGCAGAAAATTGAAGCTGGACCACTTCCTTACATCTTATACAAAAATTAACTCAAGATGGATTAAAGAGTTAAACGTAAAACCCAAAACTATAAAAACCCTGGAAGAAAATCCAGATAATACTATTCAGGACATAGGCATGGGCAAATATTTCATCATGAAAACATCAAAAGCAAATGCAGCAAAAGCAAAAATTGACAACTGAGATCTAACTAAAGAGCTTCTGCACAGCAAAAGAAACTATCATCAAAGCGAACAGACCACCTACAGAATGGGAGAAAATTTTTGCAATCTATCCATCTTACACAGGTGGTGTACCAGATACCAAATACCATTTCTGGTATTTCTGGTGGGGTCGGGGGAGGGAGAGCATCAGGATAAATAGCTAATGCATACTGGGCTTAATACCTAGGTGATGAGTTGACAGGTGCTGCAAACCACCATGGCACACGTTTACCTATGTAACAAACCTGCACATTCTGCAAATGTATCCTGCAACTTAAATAAAATAAATTAAAATTAAATATAATACCTGCTTAAACATTAATATTACACATATACCCAAAGTCAGTATGGTTTAGAATAAACACAAGCTTTGGTATTACACAAATCTCTATACAAAATATGATTCTGCTGCATACTGGCTTTCTAGTTCTAACTGAATCCTTTAACGTTCCCAAAACTATGTGTGAACATGTCTAGCACATGGTAGTTGCATAATAAATGAGCAAAGCGTGAAGGGTGGGACAGACAATTCAACTGACATGTCTTATGGTTATTTTTTATTTTTATTTTTTAAGAAACAGAGTTTTGCCCTGTTGCTCAGGCTGGAGTGCAGTGGTACGATTACAGTTCACTGCAGCCTTGACCTCCTGGGCTCAAGTGATACTCCCTTCTTAGTCTCCCAAGTAGATGGAACTACAGGCACATGCCACCACACCTAGCTGTTTTATGGTCATTTAGTGAAACCAAATCAAAGAGGAACTCCTCTATTTGTTCAGGATAGTAGTAGTTATGAGATTTAAATTTAACACAGTGGTGATGTCTTAACTCTAAGCATAATTGTCACAAATGTAGGCAAAGGCAAATATTAGCCCTGGAATTCACATGTAATTGGAGGCTACTAAAAAATAAAGAATATAATCAGCAACTATTTCAAACGAGTTCTGTAGCTGCCATCCCACATATTTCTGGGGACTACTTTAGCAACTAACAATGGGATCTTTGAAACATTCTTTGGAGTGACTGACAAATATAATTACATTGAGAAAGTAAGGTCTTAATTCAAAAGAAAAATAAGTTGGAGAGTTGAATGCTAGGAGAAGAGAAACTGGTTCATCTAAAAAAGACAATGGTGAAATGAATTAGTGCATCAAAGATGTAATTCATTCATATACCCCATAATTTCCAAAATCTGGAGACCAACTAAAATTTTATTGGGCCCAGAAATCTCTTTGGTATAGTATATGTGACTCTGCCATGTCTCTCATACAAACTTCCTCTTTGATAAAAGAAAAGTAGGAATTATGAGTAGCAAAGAGTAATTTCTTGTAGGATAGAGATGAAAAAAAGGAAAAAATATATAAGTAGAAGATAAAGTAGTCTTTTATCTGGTAGCCTTAAAGCACCTAACCTGAACAGTCCAATAAGAAGAAATTGAAAATTTAACATCGAAGTGTACTCATCTGATGACTCTGGTCAAATATTAGGGGGTCATCATTCATTCACTCATTCATCCATTTATTCAACCTTTTATTGAGGGGCTGCTATGGGCCAGGTAATATAATGTGTTAGCAATTCAGATATGACACATGACCCTCAAAGACTCTCATCATCTCATGATGGGGAAGACCAATAAGTAAAAGAGGAATCCCAAAACAGTGAAATTAGTGCTAGGATCAATGGTTTTAGAAAATATCAGTGTAAGTAGTTGAGTAACCTTCACGGGACTTCCATTTTCTGTGAAAATAAGGAAAATTTTAGCCAACATTAACAGAGCCCCTATTATATGTAAGGAAGGTAAGAGTCTTTCTACTGAAGATGGTAACAGTCCCCACACTCAGTAATGCTATAGACATGAGGGCAGACAAATGTACTCTGTTAATTATTTTAAAATATTTTCTATTTTGCTGCACAGATATGTGTGAAGCGTGTAATCAAACAACAGAATGCCTTCCGTTTTTCTCAATCAGACATTGTATGGAGTCATCCTATGATTCTCATCTCTCTCTACAGAACTTGGTTTCCTTTATCAATGATGTTGTTCAAATGCTGTGTCAAGAACTGAACATGATATTCTATGAGAAACCCAATTGTCCCCACATGCAAAGGAGATGTAGTAGAAGAGGGAGGCAATGATGTTAGGCTGAAAACAATCCCGGACAAATTAACCAAGACTAGACCATTGTGTTTTTGTTTTCGTTTTCCTTCTGGATACTCTGGCTGTAAGGGAAGAAAAAAGGAGATCCTTCATCTAAGACTAAAATGGTTTTAGAAAACATTTTACACACGCAATCAATTTTATGTATTCTAAAGATAAGTGCAAGTAGGGCTCTTGTTGTCTTTCCTTATCTTATAGTAATTAAAGTCACAAGATGAAACTTCATCCGTCGATTTTTTCCTCTCCTTAAAACTTCATTGAAGCACACAGGCTCAGTAGGACACATCCCATTGTTGCTACCCCGGTAACATTTCCTCACCTGTCTGATGCTCTGCCTCTCCCTGCTGTTGCATCACTCAGATGCCACCCTCACTGGCACTGTTTCTAAGAGTCAACCTCAAATCTCTAGTCTAGAAAGTGTTGCTGATGTCCTGAGGCTTTTGTAAGGATCTTTTCTCACTTTAAATAATACATTATGATACTGCTCTCCACAGGTAATCCTGGGCCTATGCAGATGGCACTATTCTTCTGCTCTACTTAGAAAGGAGAAAAAGAATCCTGCAACTGTATTTGCTGCCTTGATCGAGACTTCATTTCTCTGGGTGCTCTCTCTACTTTACTATGAGTAAATTGATTTCCATTGTACACTGCTATACGGTTCCCTTTGCTCCCTTGTCTTTGCTGTTGTCAGTAGGATTATAAAAGTCACAGGTCTCCAAAGCTGGTTAGGCAAGGAAAATTTCATTTTATTTTATTTTATTTTTCAAGGGATAATATAGAATTTCTTGGCTATAAAAGAGTCACCTATTAGCTGCAGAGGATGGCAGTTCACTTATAGGTGATTGTTCATGAGCTGGCATCTGAGAGGGCATGTGAACAGTAAGGTCAATGGAGTTAGGGGAAGACTTGGTAAAATTGCCCTCAGATTAAACAGTGGCATAAAAAGCCAATCTTATCTTTGGCTTAACTTTTAGTCATACAATGTGCGGAAGAGAGGTGAGAGGCCTAACTCTACTCTTAAACAATCAGTATCTCCCCTGGACTATCTATCAAATACTCTGAGAACTACAGAACAATTTTGGCCCACTGTTGCCATGTCCAACAGAGAGACATTAAGATCCAGAAGTGTCTTTACAACATTTTTCATAAGGACAAATTGAAGAAATTAAAAATATTACACCTGGACCGGGTGCGGTGGCTCATGTCTGTAATCCCAGCACTTTACAGTACAAGTAAGTTTATCTTGAATCCTCTGAGAGCAAATTGCCCCCAGCCTTGAAAAATTACTTTTTTTTTTTTTTTGAGATGGAGTCTTACTCTATTGCCCAGGCAGGAGTGTAATGGTGGATCTCGGCTCACTGCAACCTCCGCCTCCCGGGTTCAAGCAATTCTCTGCCTCAGCCTCCTGAGTAGCTAGGATTACAGGCACCCACCACCACGCCCAGCTAATTTTTGTATTTTTAGTAGAGATGGGGTTTCTCCATCTTTGCCAGGCTGGTCTTGAACTCCTGACCTCGTGATTCACCCGCCTCAGCCTCCCAAAGTGCTGGGATTACAGGCGTGAGCTACTGCACCCGGCTCAAAACTATTTTCTAACAATAATGTCATTCTCCTCCATAAGATAATAAAGCCATAAAAACCAGAACATTAACTTTGCTATTTTATTATCATTTACTTTTTAGACACTTCAGTTTTCACCACTTTCCTATTCAAGTTTTGCCATTTGTACCAATAAGTACCTTTTATAGCAATTGTATTCAATCCAGAGTCCTTCGTTGCATTTATTTGCCATCCCCTTATTAGTCTCCATTAATCCAAAACAGTCTTTTCTGGGCTTTCATAATCATGATTCTTTGGGAGATAATAGGCTACTTATGTTTTAGACTTTCCCTCTATTTAAGTTTGTCTAATGTTGCCTCATTCTTAGATTTAGGTGACGCATGTTTGGCAACCATATTATGGTAGTAATGCTACATTCTCATTACATCCTCTCAGGTGGCACTGAATTTCAATGTAGTCCATGACTGGTGATGCTGATTTTGATCAGTTGTTTAAGGGGATTTTTTTCAGCCTTCTCCAGTATACAGCTTGTTCTCCCATTATAAAGAATAAGTGCTTTTTGTGAGGAGGTATTATGAGATTATGTAAATATTACATTCCTCATTAAACTTTCAATTAATTTCTTTAAGTATTTTTGTCACTAAGATCTTATAAATTCTTTTTATTCCATGGCTTTAATCTACTACTTTTATTATTTAATATGATGCTAAAATTTATCCAGATTTGGCCAGTGGGAGCCCCTTTACACTGGCATCTGTGTTATTTTTATACGCTGTCATCACTTTTATTTTCTGGCATACTTTTTGGCCTTTCTTTTCTATGCTTCAGCTTGGAATCAGCCATTTCTCCAAGAAGGCTTGATTCCATTTAGTCAAAAGCAATATTTAGAAACCATGCTCTGGGCATTAGGGGTGTTTTCGGCCATTGGGTATCACAGGTGGCAGGCTGTTTCAGTGGAAGGGCTGAAAATATATTTCTTTACACAGTCACATACTGTGATGGCTAATATTGAGTGTCAACTTGATTGGATTGAAGGATGCAAACTATTGTTCCTGGGTGTGTCTGTGAGGGTGTTGCCAAAGAGGATTAACATTTGAGTCAGTGGACTGGGAGCGGCAGACCCACCCTCAATCTGGGTGGGAACCATCTAATCAGCTGCCAGCATGGCTAGAATAAAAGCAAGCAGAAGAACGTGCAAGGACTGGACTGCCTGAGTCTTCTGGCCTCCATATTTCTCCCATGCTGGATGCTTCCTGCCCTCGAACATGGGACTTCAAGTTCTGTAGCTTTTGGATTCTTGGACCTACACCAGTGGTTTGCCAGTGGCTCTCAGGCCTTCAGCCACAGACTGAAGCCTGCACTGTTGGCTTCCCTGCTTTTGAGGTTTTGGGACTCGGACTGGCTTCCTTGCTCCTCAGCTTGAAGATGGCCTATTGTGGGACTTCACCTTGTGATCCTGTAAGTCAACACTCCTTAATAAACTCCCTTTTATATATACATCTATTCTGTCCCTCTAGAGAACATTAGTCCTGTCCCTCTAGAGAACCCTGATACACATACATACAAATCTCACATTTATATTTCTATCTTACATAATCTGTCCACATATTGAGAACTGTATGTTCGTGTCACTACCTCATCTCATCTTCTAATTTAATACCAGAGTTTAGTGACAGTTTTCTCCCTTTTCTCATGTGAAACACCACTACCCAACAGTGAGAAGCCAGGCTCCCATTATCATTAACATATGACTTACAGATCCATCCTCTACATGTACACAGTCTCTCCTTTGGTCTCCCTGTCACTTATGTGAATGGTGGATACCCTCCCTCATCACATCACAGGGCTCCTACCCTCCCTGCCCTCTTCTGTCAGTAGGTAGACACCCTGCTACTCTTCTACTTGGACTTAAATATTTAAAATCCCCCCTACCCCTTGCACAGATTCCTTCTTCATTTTGCTCTGGATCTGACAAGTGCGTTGAAGTTTTGAAGAACTTCTTACCCCATTAAAATTCCCATCTTGCTTGGTCCAACTGGTAATTTTAGAGAATAACTTAGGAAAGAAAGAGAAAGAGAAAGGGACAAGAACAAAGGAACTCTTAATTACAGTTGTATCTGAAGAGGTCAATTGAATATTCGAACATGAAAAGGTGCTTTTATTTTTTAATACTTGCTTTTTCTTACAACTTGATATGTATAACATGTATGATACCCTATATTACTTTTCAAATTTGAAAGATACTTTAAGAGTTTAGTGGGTAAAAAAATGTAATCTAAACATTTTAATTGATGAACAGTAATCATTTAATTCTGAATATATCTAGAATTATGTCTTTACATTCTCATATTTATAATTTATAAATAATTATAAAATTTTCAGTTCATTCTCAAAACAAAATAACAACAATAAACCTGCAATGGGTCCCACCAAGAACTTAGTAATGAGTCTGGGTGCCACATGGCTTATGACTTTAATCTCAGCACTTTGGGAAGCTGAGATGGGAGGATTGCTTGAGCCCAGGAGTTCAAGACCAGCCTGAGTAACATAGGAAGGCTGTCTCTACAATAAATAAATAAATAAATAGCCGGTTTGGTGGTGTATGCCTTCCTGTAGTTCCAGCTACAGGCTTGGTGGTACACGCCTATAGTCCCACCTACTCAGGAGGCTGAGGTGGGAGGGTCTCTTGAGCTGGGGAGGTGAAGCTGCAGTGAGCCATGATTGCACCACTGCACTCCAGCTTGGGCAAGAGCAAGATCCTGTCTCCAAAAAACCCCCCAAAAACTTAGTAGTGAAATATCATGTCTTCCAGATAGTCACACTTGAGAGGTGCAAAGCCTACTATAAATCTTAAAGGGCTGTGCAAATACAAGGTACTTTTTTTTTTTTTCCCCAATTAGGGGCATTAAATTCATCTAGCTCACATGATCCTCATAATAGTGTAAAAAGTAGGTAGCATAGATGATTTAGTTCTCAGGTTTTCAAGTCAACTGAGCTCCAGAATCCAAACACATTTTCTTAGAAATGATGCTTTACACAGCTCTTTAGCGTCTAAATGGCCTAACCCTGCTGTGTATTAAATCTCAGCAAGTGACCCAGACCCTTCTTATATCCTCCTTATGAAAACTTCTTAATAAATATGAAACTGACAACACCAAAAAGTAAATGCCTAAGAGATATCTTCCATGGAAGAAAAAAATTTATAAATATTCATGCTTTATAGAGCAATCAAGATGTTGATGTTAATATTAGAGCAATAACTTTAATTGTATTTCAGCAAACGGATGCCAATTAGGAAACAAATTATCTCATAGAAGCATGTCTTGCGCACAGTTTTGCCCTGAAGGTAAGCCGAGGGCTAAGCCAGCTTCCTGAATTTTAATGCACAAGTGAACACCTCCAAAATTATTAAAATTAAAAATAAGCATTTAAAGGACTTTAAATTATGCCAAAAAAAAAAAGAAAATGACAGCCACCTGCTTACTGGTAAAGGCGGAGCATTTTTTCCCATAGAAGGAAAAAGAAAATCACTTGTCATGGCAGGGCTGCTGCTCATAAAAGTAAAGGAGGACTGTTTAGGCTGTTCCTTTACTGATGGATTTGCGATCCCCACACGTATCTGATAAAGTGCTCAGAATTGTAAATTGCCATGAAAACCTCCTTTGAACTTTCTAAACTCTTTAAAACTCCACAATCTTGAAAATAACAGACTTTTACCTCAGATTTCTCAGAGCCTACCTAGAAAAGTTCCAGTGTGAAGATCCAATGGGATAAGAGATAGGCATCAAAAGACGGCTGTTCAAAGGGGTCCTGGATAGGGTAGGAAATTGCTGATTTTTTTAGGATTCCCAGTAGCCCTAATGTATCTAAGACTGGCATAATATCTCCCAGAACGTAAGGCTCCTATGATAGGGCAGGCTAGGGCAGGCTCTGTCCTCTGAACTCATGCTGCAGAATTGGTCTGTGTCAGGGAGTCTCTGAGCCTCCCAGGAACTAGTCTCAAGTTTGAGCTTTCTCTTTATTGCCAGAGCAAGTCGTGCACATTCCTGACTAAATTACATAGTATTATTAACATTTGACCATAGCGACCTTCCTTGCTAGAATGGGGGCATCTTATGGGAATGCCTTATTTTCCTAAACGTTTCTGTGTTCCTAGTGGAACCGGAATTATTAGTCCTCGTCAGAATGGACCTTAGATGTTAGCTGGGAAAACCATGACTCCTTGATTTCTGTGTGAGGTTATCTGGAACATGTATGTTCATGAAGCAGAGAAGTCTAAGACCTTCCCTTCATTAAGGTAAGTACCCAGGAACTTATTTTCCCATAGACATATCTGTGTCTGAGTCCCTACTTCTAAACATGTTCTGCAGAAAAAGCCCAAAGCCCAGCCCTTTCTATAGTTTCAACACACAATTCACTTACGTATTTTTCCATATATAGAGTAGATCTTACTGAAGTATCATTGTATTTTGCACACCCAAACTAAATTAAAATTTCATCTTAGACATTTCTATTTTGAAACAACCTTGCCAAAATCCCACCAATAAGGGTTGCACTTATATAGTCCCCTGGTTAACCCCCCTTTTTCTTCTGTCTTCATGTTGCCCCCTTACCCCTAACACCCACACGCTAGAAGAGCAAATGTATCTTTTTATCTCTTTTGCATTCTTAATCTTCAAATTTTTATGTACATTTATGCTGCCTAGTAACCCTGGACATATTTATCAATATATTTTATTTTACCAAACAATGTCTGTTACCCCTCAGCTGGTATATATATATGTATATATGGTGTGTGTGTGTGTGTGTGTGTGTGTGTGTGTGTGTGTATATATATATATATTTACCACATATATATGGCAATTATATATAGAGAATCTCATCTTATCAATAAATCATTGAGATAAATCTTATCAATAAATAATCAAGAGACATATATAAAGGCTGGTTTGTAACAAGGTGGTCATGAAAGCTCAATGCACTAGAAGAATAAATAGCTGAAATATCGTATTGAACATATGGTTCATGTAGCTGAATGGATTTTAGGATCTGCTCAGCTCAAATTTACCTAATTGTTCAAGCATGCCTTATACTGTGGAAACACTAATCTGCATTGGAAATGAGAAGTCACAGACTTGATCCTAGTCTGGGATTAGTTCACCTCCAAGTCAGAATTCCCACATCACATGAGACAGTGAAGGCAACCACTGAAACTGTTAAGCAATGACTATGTTGGAAATAGTGGTGACGTATTAGGCTTAGACTAAAATTCTGAGATGAAAACAAAGACTAGAAATTTATTCCACATACATTACTCTTTCTTCTTTTTTTTCTGGCTATCCAATCTGTTTATTTCTGGGTACTTGCATGAGAAAACTTTGTTTTGTTACTTATCTAGAAATAGAGACTTCTACAGCCTCTTGATTTGCTTTGACAGCAACATTCTAGTGATTACTGAGCAACCACTGCAAAACACTGAGTTTTAATTTCTCCCTTAAGGGGTGGATCAGCTAGTATTCTCTTTGGCACATCTGTCGAAGATGTGAGCTAATTTGGAAGTTCAAGCCTAGGCTGTGACAGGCTTCCATCCTCATGATGTTTCCAGCCTGATTTCCAGAGTGGGATTTAAGTTGACTCCAAGTCAGTTTTTGAGACACCTGCTTTAGAGGAGTGCCTGCATTTCAAATGCACCATTGCAACTAACTCCTCAAAGAGGCTTTTCAAATTGCTGAAGAAGGACAAATATACCTGACATGGGATCAAAATACATGAAGGCTCCAGTTCTTCTGTCCCAGTCCACCATAGCTGCACACATACTTGTCAGGACATTTATTCCACGAGCTGCTCAAGCATAGTAGAAGAATGGTTGTGATCAGATGTGAGCTCATGCCTCTACTGACATTTTTCTTAAACTGTGGCCTGTCTGCAACTCATCTGGATTTTATGTTCTTGAAAGTGTAGCTAAGATAGTCACTAGGTTTATGGACAGTGCCAAGACTGTGCCAACTAGAAAATATTTGGAAGCTTTAAAATTAGACCTACACTTCCAAGTCTGAGAAGTTGTTTTCCTGAAGATAGCCAACTGCCAACTGCCCTCTCACACAGCTCCCTTTGAGGCATAAAATTGAATGTACCAAGATGCTGGTGCTTATATTTAGTTAATTGTGGGTGCAAGCAGCCAACTGAGGATACAATTAGACACTGCAATTAGCTGCTGTGGCCCAAATGATTAGAGAGAGAAAAAACAGGAGGCCCAGTCAAATCCTCTTTAAAAATGCAGGTCTGTGGATGAAATCTCTGACGACAGTCATTCAAATGAATATATCCATGAAGGCAATGAGAAGCTGGGAAAATAGCATAAGGCAAAACTTATTTGTAGAACAGTAGAATAATAAAAGTATTACTTCACATGCATATGTGTATTCATTTTTATAGTTTGTACATCTGCCATCAAAGCCATTTTATTATAGGCTTATTTTATCTAAAAGATGTCCACTTAAATTACATAATAGAAATCACAGTGCACAAGTTTGAAGCAAAGATAGAAAAAAAGTCTCTCCCACTAGCATATACCATACAACAGAGGTCCAATACCCCTTCTCTGCTACAATTCTGTAGTCTTATAAGGCAAAACGGGGAAAGCATAAATATTCACTGATTGTCTCCATGTCCCACGGCCTGCAGTGGAGAGTTGACAAGTGATATTACATGTAATCCTTGTAACAACTCAATGTGAGACATGTTACTTCATTTATAAATGCAGAAACTAAGCCTCAGTGAGGTTAATGATTTGACAAAGCTCACTACCACTGATGAAGGCCAAGGTCAGGTCTGCCTGTCCCTAACAACTCTTTCCTCAAAATTATAATCTTACAAAACTCCAGTTTATTTTCAGTAAGATTTGTATAACACCAAATCTAATGCTGGAAAACATACTTTTGAATCTGGGTCTGAATTCCAGGAAAATGTCAATCACCTACTAAATGTTCATTTAAGACATTTAGAAAATGGTTCTTTACTTGGTGGGAGATCACATGGATAATGAATATCACTTTAATACCTGTGATTCTGTTATATACATTCTAATAACTTTATATATATTTCACTTTGCTATGGTCCCTTGAAATATCGAAGGAAAACTCTTTTGGTGATTTGCAAGTGAGTTCTTCCATAGAATTTTAATTTTGAATTATGTCTTTGTTTCAGCATTTAATTAAATTCTGTTTTAGAAATTCACCAAAATGGCTAAAAGAGGAGAAAAGATAAATGGTCATATGGAATTCAATGCTTTTTAATTACAGGAATCCATTCACTTTGTAATATCAGTATAACAATTCCTTAATGAAATTAAATTATTTCTTTTAAAATTGACTTAATTAATGATTCAATTTATATTAGATTGATTTTATAATCCAATTTTAACTATAATAGTAAAGTTTAGGGTTCTTTAAAAGAGAGACTTTTAAGAACTATTAAAATCTGAACTTCTTTGAAATGGAAGTTTATATGAAAAAAAGATGGCTTTAGTTAAGACACTCAAAATTTTACTACTCTATTTTGTTTAAGGAAAATGCAATAATTTTATATTATAATTAATTTTAGGGTTTTTAAAATCCAATTATTTCCTGAATAAGCTATGAAACATATTTCCTTATGTAAGAAGTAAACTGAACGGCTTAGAGAAGAATGGCTCTATGATATTTAATGGGCTTTTCATCTGTTAATAAATCCTCCGCATTTGCTGTCAGGCTCTCAGAACTGTTCACATCACACCTACCTTCCATTCTCCCTAAGCCTAGGTCCAGGCCACATGTATGGCATTTTATGTTTAAGAGACTTTTCATAATAATACTTCACTAAATAATACTTCACTAAAAGGATGTAAGGGGTTAATTCCCTTTTCCGATTTCTCACCAGTTTTCCCGGAGGAAGCATATATTGACTATCCACTGCCTTCACGGACTTTCAAAGCTTTGAATACTCCTGTAAATCCAGATGTGAAAGGTTTGAAATACACCTACAAATCTCCCAGTAGGAAGAAAAATAATGGCAATAAGCCCACGTGTTTTTTGTAATGCACTCATCATAGGAATTGTTGCACATGTACAAAAAGGAGGCGTATACCTCGTTCTTCACAAATATGTGAAAATCAGAATAACTGTATAACATTGATAATATACCATTTAGTCATTAATCTTCCCTGTATGAGTTTACTATTCCTGCTGTAACAAATTACCACAAATTTCATGGCTTAAAACAACACACATTTATTATTTCATAGTTCTGGAGCTCAGACATCTGAAATGGGTTATCAAGGCTCATTTCTTGTGGAGACTTCAGGACAGAATTCGTTGCCTTGTCTTTTCCAGCTTCTAAGGGTTGTCAACATTCCTTTGCTCATATCCCAGCACCAGTCTCACCTTGGCTTCCATCCCTCATCTCTTCTGACTCCAACCCTCATGCCTCCTTCTTGCAAGGCCTTTATGATTTCACTGGGCCCACAAAGATAATCCAGCACACTCACCCTTTCTCAAGATCCTTAACTTATTTACATCTGCCAAATCATATTAAGAAGTTTCAGGGATTAGAGTTCAGACATCCTTTAGGGAGCCATTATTCAGGCCACCACAATCCCATATAGAATTAATCCCAGATAATTAGCCTTTTCCTTGTGGAAAAAGGAGAAGAGAGTTGGGCATGGTGGCTCAAGCCTGTAATCCCAGCACTTTGGGAGGCTGAGGCAGGCAGATCACCTGAGGTCAGGAGTTCAAGACCAGCCTGGCCAAGGTGGAGAAACCCCATCTCTACTAAAAATACAAAAAAATTAGCTGGGCATGGTGGTGCATGCCTGTAGTCCCAACTACTCAGGAGGCTAAGACAGGAGAATGGCTTGAACCCAGAAGGAGGAGGTTGCAGTGAGCCGAGATGGCGCCACTGTGCTCCACACTCCAGCCTAGGCGACAAGACTCCATCTCACAAAAAAAAAAAAAAAAAAAAAAAGGAGAAGAGGATGGGAGGGCAATTTTCTTGGTTCTTTTCTACCCCTTTTCTTAACTGCTTTCGCTTGTTCTCACATGCCTGAACCTGTGTGTACTTTTGCTTGTACACACAAACACATCACGGCATACATACACACTCACACACACACATACACACACACAAAGTTCCAAATTCCATCCTGGAAAAATAACAGTTTATTTTAAAGATAAACTGTCTTCTGATCTATAAAGCAGCAAATACATATTTGGGGAAAAATGACGTTGATAGAATTTCAATACATCAAGACCATCCCGTCCTATGCTCCCATTTCAAATGATAAAAGATCCAGAAGGAAGAAGCAGGAAGGAAGGAAGGAGAAAAAGGGAGGTGGAGGAGGAGGAAGAAGAGGAGGAGGAGAAGGAGAAAGAGAAGGAAAAGGCTAAGGAGAAGGAGAAGATCCTCAGCAAACTTACACAGAGACAGAAAACCAAAGACCACATGCTCTCACTCAAAAGAGAGAGCTGAACAATGAGAACACATGGACATAGGGAGGGGAATGACACACACTGGGGTCTGTGGTTGGGGCAGCGAGAGGGAGAGCATCAGGATAAGCAGCTAATGCATGCAGGGTTGCATACCCAGGTGATGGGTTGATAGGTGCAGCTAACCACCGTGGCACACATTTACCTATGTAACAAACCTGCACATCCTGCATGTGTATCCTGGAATGTAAAATTAAAGTAAATGAAAAAGAGGAAGGAGAAAAACAAGAAGAGGAAGAAGAAGAAGAAGGAGAAAGAGGAGGAGGAGGAGGAGGAAGGTGGAGGAGAAAAGTAAACCTCTACCGTTCTTTCATACTTCGTTATCTGAAGCTCCCCAGGACAACTTCCATTCTCTATTTGCTTACAGGATTAAGGTTTTGAAATCCTGAAAATTTACTTTGTGCATTTTTTCCTCACTTTCTTTCCTCCGACTAATTCCGTATCTTTTGAAAGAGAGAGAGAGAGAGAAAGAAAGATAGAAAGAGAGACAGTAAGATAGAGAGAGTGAACCAAGAGTCTATTCATTCCTTTAATCTCTTGTCTTACCAGGAAAACATTGTCTTTTGAGGCCATTTAGTGAAGATGATTCTTTCTGTCTGGAAAACAGTTACATTAGGTAGTAAAATCTAGCTTCTTTACAGTGCTCATAAGCCATATATATGTACTGTGGTTCAGGACCCTCATCCTGTCCAATAAAATCCTCTTTCTCCCTCTCTTTAAGTCTAGAATCAATTGAGAGACCAAGAGTTAGAATAATGGAAGTCAAAACCTAAACTTTTGCTTCCAAAAAAGGAGATTAGAAATGTGGTTTTAAGTCTGTGACCAAATGGGCATGCTACCATTTTACTCCTGAATCCAAACTTAAAGCCAGACGATAACAGTCTGCTCTGACCATATGCCTGGCTCACCCCAAATATGAGCAGAGCAGAAGAGAAAATATCTGAGTTGGACATGCTTGATTCCCTCTCCCAAAGACACAAGTCAGATGAATCATTCATTTCCCCAGGAGAACAGTGAGTAGCAAATTGTGAGAAACTGGAATTATATTCAGCTTCACAGGAAAGTAAATGGAAATAGTCCTTGTTTTGGAAAACATACAGGCAAGGAATTAAATTTTCCAATCCAATTGAGAAATTTTCTTTCGAAAGGGGATGACATGAAGGCTAAATACTCTGAACCAGTCCTATTAGCAAAGTTTTTTTCAAAGCCAATGATTAAAAAAATTAAAATTGTATTGCCAAATAGGAAAGATAATAAGAGGAGGCAACGGAAAAGCTGACAATAAACAATTTAAAAATATTTGGAAGATTAACTTGTTTGGCAAAGGGCTCAGCACAGTTTAGGTTAGTCAATAAAACCAAAGAAAAAAATAATAAATTGTAGCTGGGCTATAAATTTCTTAAGGAAAGATACTAACACTTATTATTCCATTTATATATCTGACTCTTAGCAGACCACCCGACACATAGTAGACACTTCATATCTGCTAGTTAGTTGACAGGCCTTGGGTATTGCCTTCACCTTTTAAGACTTCAGTTTCCTGTTTTGTGTGGTGCGTGTGTGTTTGTGAGTGTGTGTATGGTGCATGTGTGTGTTTATATTTTTTTCCAAAGCCCTATGACCTCCCAAAATTATAATTTTTAAGTGAATCTTACCCTTTTCATTTCTAACCAGATCTTGCAACAAATTATTTTGCCTTCTTCGGAATACTTTTCTGACACTTTTTTTTGTAATGGCTTTAACCTTGTTAACGAGCTCCCACTGAGTCCTTTAATACGCTACTTTAATGCCCAAATTCCCTGTGAGTTCAAGGAGAGAAAATGCTTCCAAAGGAAACCCCAGGCTAGATTTCAGGTATTCTTAATCCTGTCTACATGAGAAGCAATAGTTAGATAATTTCACAAGCATACGCCTTTAGGATTCAAGCTGTTAATGTTTGCAAACCAGACAACCACCCTTAATACCACTGCTGGTTTATTGACACAAACTCTTCGCTTCCCACAGCTTGTAATTGAATCCCCCCACTGCTTAATTGGAAATAGAATGACTCCACAACCAGATTTGAAACATCTTCTGAAGCTGGTAGCAACATCAGCACTCCCTTTTAAAAATAAAAATTATATCATTAACTGTGTTAAGTGAAGATTGGTGTTCTGGTGAATATCAGGAAATGAGTGCACCCCAGGACTGTCTGAACACAAGGCAATTAGGGATGTTTTCTGTTTTACAGTGCATGCACACATGGCCTCCTTTTTAGCCAAAGCATAAAAGCTAAAGCTGGACTAAGTTTCTACCTTGTGAAAGTCCTGACGTTTGCACTATTCTGATCCCTTTCAAGACTTGTTCTCTTAAACTTATTTACATACTTTGACCAGGAATTGCATTCAAACTCTCATTCAACAAATAATTACTGAGCTCTTATCACAAGCTAGGAGATAAATAGTGTACAAAAGAACATAATAAGAAAAGAAGTCAATGAATATATTACATACCCATTAAAAATTAAATGTGCATATTATAAGGTATCTAAATATCTACATGCTTCCAAAGGAAACCCCAGACTGCATTTCAGGTATTCTTAATTCTGTCTACATGAGAAGCAATAGTTAAATAATTTCACAGTGATTTCAGCTCTATCAGTGTAGAGAAAACAAATAAATCATTGACTATACTTTTAATGACACATACGGCTATTCATTGAGGCATTGGTTGTAATAATAATAAATTAAAAACTAAATGATTGAAAAAGGGGAAGAATAAAATAAATTATGGTATCTAACGTAAAGTATTATGCAGACAATACAATAATATTGTCAAAGCATATTTAATGCCATAGGATCATGTTAAGCAGAGGCGTATGGTAAAACTTAGACATGTTATTTTATGTATATATGTATGTAAAATATGTACAGAAAGACATATGTACATAAAAATATGTACAGAAAGACAATGGACCACAATATATCAAAATGTTCACAGAACTTATCTGTAAGTATTGGGATTTAATAAAAATTTCTCTCTAATGATTTGTTTTAAATTAAGATTATTTTATATTTTTAAGAAAACATTTTCATGATAAAATTATTTAGTACAGACAATCTCTGGACTTAGGATGGTTTGACATATTATTTTCCTGTTTTATGATGATTTGAAGGTGATACACATTTAGTAGCAACCTCACTTTGAGTACTCATACAAGGTTCAGTAGTCAATAAATTACACAAGATATTCAACACTTTATTATAAAATAAATCCACTTTTTTTTTTTTGAGACGAAGTCTCGCTCTGTCACCCAGCATGGAGTGCAGTGGTGCGATCTCAGCTCACTGCAAGCTCCACTTCCCGGGCTCATGCCATTCTCCTGCTTCAGCCTCCCAAGTAGCTGGGACTACAGGTGCCCACCACCACACCCGGCTAATTTTTTTTTTTTTTTTTTTTTTTTTTGTATTTTTAGTAGAGACAGGGTTTCACCGTCTTAGCCAGGATGGTCTCAATCTCCTGACCTCGTGATCCGCCGGCCTCGGCCTCCCAAAGTGCTGGGTTTACAGCCATGAGCCACTGCGCCCAGCCAAACTCCACTTTATATTACATGATGTTACTCAACTGTAGGCCAATGTAAATGTTCTGAACATGTTTTAAGTAGGCTAGGCTAAGCTATGATGTTTGGTAGTTTAGGTGTCTTAAATGCATTTTTCACCATAGGATCTTTTCAATTTAGATGGGTTTATCTGGACATAACTTCATCGTTAGTTGAGAAGCATCTGCATTATATTTTTAAATATTCTCACTCACAAAAGGTATGTTGCAGACATCCTCCAGCCTTTGCCAGCATTCATTTCCACCACCCCCTTCGTGCCTCATTAAGCCAGGTTGTATGCTATAATTGATTATGAGTCTGGAGGCTCTGGACTTGGAACACTTATTGCATATCTTGCCTCAGTCATTTACTAATTGCATAAACTGGGAGAAACTATTTAGTATGTGTGTATTAGTCCATTCTCACACTGCTCATATAGATATACCCAAGACTGGGTAATTTATAAAGGAAAGAGTTTTAATTGACCCACAGTTCCACATGGTTAGGGAGGCCTCACAATCATAGCAGAAGGTGAAGGAGGAGCAAAGTCACATCTTACATGGCAGCAGCCTAAGAGAGCTTGTGCAGGAGAGCTCCCATTTTAACACAATCAAATCTCATGACACTTATTTCCTACCACAAGAACAGTATAAGGAAACCTCCCCAAGATTTAATTATCTATGCCTGGCTCTTCCCTTGACATGTGGGGATTATTAAAATTCAAGGTGAGATTTGAGTGGGGACACAGCCAAACCATATCAATGTATAAACTCACTACTCTATTAGAAAGAATGCATTACTAGCCCCATTATACATAGAAGGAAAATAGTTGGGTCATTTATTATTTCAAAGATTTTAGCAGATTGCCTGTCTTTTTAACAATAAGAGCAACCATTTATTGAGCATTTTCTATTTCCTTGTTCCTCTCTTCTCATTTCACAACCTTCTTTATCTCATAGTCCCCTCCATCACCTGGTGTCTTTCCTTGGACATTTGAGTTAGGTGCCCTCTTTCATCTTGTAAACTTGCCATTGTCAAGTCCCAGATGTTCTACAGTGAGACCTCACATACTATGCCCTCAGATGTAGTGAGGATAGGGGCAGTCACTTGCCATGCTTCTCTGTCATCAAAGGTGTTGTACTTTCTGGGCTCCACATGGCTGTCCATCAACCTTGCTATTCTCTTTGTGCAAGGATCCCAGCTGAACTACTCTTTCACCTGCAAGATCATTCCTGTCTCACAGTCTTTACCATTGCTATGTCTTCTGCTTGAGGTACCCTTCTCCCTGACAGCTGAATGGCTCATTTCTTCTGTCTTCACAGATGTCAGAACCAATGTTACTTCCTTGGAGATGCCTTCCCTGAACACACTATCCCAAATGAGGGGTATTTGCCTCATTACTTCATTTAACTCTCATTACAGCTCTATTTGCTAACTTAAATGATAGTATTTATTTGGAGAGGCAGGGTACTATGCAGGTTCAATCAGTGTTTGCCAATTAATTAATTAATTACTTGGAGTTGACACCCCACATGCTTAAGAAGAATTTGCCACAAAATCGGGAAGAGATAATGCATTGTACCCCAGGAAATTGTTCAAACTCCATTCAGTCACACAGTGAAAGGATAATTTCTCTGAAAGGTTTTCTCTCTCCAAGCATTTAATGAGCAATCCAGTCAGAGCCCCCAGAAGAAATTATGGCCCTTTCTATGATCGCCTTCATTCCATAATAAGATTGTGCTCTAAAATAAGAAGAATCTGCCTACTGCTGAGCACTTGAGAATGAGCAACTGTGCTCAACAAAGTAGCTGGTGTAGCAAGATGTGTGGAATACTAAGGACAAACGCTTATCTGCTGTAGGAAACGCATGTAAATTTGCTGCCGTGATGAGAGCTATAGATGGGGTGGCACATATTGCTGTAAGAACATCAAACTAAATTAAATCACCCTTTTAAGAAGATCTGGCAAGTTTTCCCTGAAGAAAAGACAAGTGAGCTGAGATCTGAAGAGTATGAAAGGCTTAACTAGATACATAGAAAGGGTAGAGGGAGGCCCCAGCCTTCCAGAGAAAGAACAGCATGTGCATATATCCTGGACAAGAAGAAATAGAGATGTGTGAGGATATGAAAGGAGAAAAGCTGTTTTTCCTTTTATATTGACGTCACTCTCTTCACTTCTGACACCTAATTTGTAGGTTTTTCCCATACCAAGCAATTCTCAAATTCTCTGCAGACACCAACTGGGTGCCCTACAATTTAGCTCAGCTGCAACTACCTGGAGATAGTGTCAGATTTCACACTATCAGCTAAGGCCTCAGTCCCAGAAGACTGGCCCAATTGCAGATGCCAATTGCAAGTTCAGTTGTCACTTGCGCTGTAAATCAGAGGTTCCCACCGCCTCCACTCAGGTTGAATTATTGGCTTGAATAGCTCACAGAACTCCAAAAAATGATTTACTTGCAAGATTACCAATTTATTATATAAACTTATAGACACAATCAGGGACAGCCAGATGGAAGAAATGCAGAGGGCAAGGTATACAAGAAGGGGTGTGGAGTTTCCATGCTCTTTCCAGGCATGCCACTTTGCCAGGACCTCCATGTATTCACCAACCAAGAAGCCCTCTAAAACCCATCCTTTTGAATTTTTGTGGAAGTTTGATTACACAGTCAGGATTCACTAAATCATTGGCTATTGGTAATCAACTCAATCTTGAGCCCCTGTACCCTCCCTGGAGGTCAGGGGTGGGGCTAAATGCTCCAACTCTCTAATCACATGGTTGATTCTCCCAGAAATCAGCCCTCACCCTGAGACTATTCAGGAGCTTCCAGTCACCAGTCATCTCATTAGTAAGCAAAAAGATACATCACTTTGGAGATGCTAGTGGTTTTAGGAGATAAGTGCCAGGAAATGGGGGCACAGACAATATATAAATATATATTTTTTATTTTATCACAGGATAGTACAGCTCTTAGACCAGAGTAAGGGGGACCTAGCATCAGGTCCTATAAGGATGACTAACTTGTTCCAGTTTGGCTAGGACTTCACTGGTTTTAGCACTACAATTTTCACATTTGGGGAACCCTTTAGTTATGGGTTAGTTATGGACTAACCAAGACTAGTCCACCTTACCTGAACTTTACACTGTTCCTCCAGCTGTACCCCTCTCAACAGAATAAGGTATATCCAGAGCCAAGGGGACAAGCCCACTTGAAGGTCCCTCCCCTTTCTGGATCTTGCTCCAGGTAGCTGAATCACCTTAATTCTTTTCCCTAAGGGTCCCAAGCTTGCATTGAGATCCTCTGCATGCCTCCTGCGCAAGTCTGCCCTTCTGCGGATTACTGATATCATCAATGTATGCATGGCTTCCCTGATGGACAGCAAAGGGGTAGCTGTTTGTGGGAGTCATGGACAGTACTTGGGAATGCAAGCTGGGGTTCCGTACACATCCATGTGAGCACTTTGTGGTGTAGGATGAAGCAAAAGCACAGAGTTGGGGTGGGAAAGAGGCCAGGTAGTGGTCTGGAGCCTGGGAACTAACTCTTCTCACACCACCATGTACCAAAACAGATTTCCAAGGGGTCTAAAAGTCTTTAATTCCTACTTAGCCTCCTAAGTCATTATAAAGGTGTATCTTTCATAAGACACAGCACATATATGTATTTAACTGTCTAGTAGTTTACTTTGTACCTCTTACATAATTAAACATATGATACACGGCCTGCTGTTTGCACTATTGCCTGGGGCTCCCTAAGGGTTAATTATTTGTGTAAGGAACTGAAAAATGGAAGAAAATGTTTCAAGATTAACAACCAAAAAAAAAAAAAAAACATAAAAGTCATACTAATACACAATAATTACTAAATGTTTTAGTAATAATTTACTGTGCCTTCCAGATTGACCTTCATGACTGAAGGAAGTTACTCTCACAGCTGCTTAGAGTGGTCCTCTCTAGGTATTGCTTTCTGCTCAAGAAAGCTGCCTCACTGAAAGGAAAGACCTTCACCCTAATTCAGGACCATTCAGAGGGGTCTTCTGAGCTCCAGGGTTCTTGGAGGGGTGGGCAGAAACCTTGCTGTGACCTCTTCTCGTCCTAACTTCTCACTCTGCCCAATCTTATCTCTTTGCTTTTGCTATAGATGTGGATCCCAAGTTCACTTTTCAAGAATCTTCTTTCATGTTAATGTCTGTTTCAGACTCCTGTAAACCTTACCAACCTCAATGCTTATAATTACTATATTACTATTAGTCAGGCTCTGCCCAAGTATTATTTATAAATTGTTTTAATTCTCACAGCAATTTGATGCAGTGGTGCTCTTATTCATAAATATCCATTTTAGAGATGAGGAACTTAAAAGTTACTCAGGTCACATGGTTGAATAACTAAGGATCACCCAGTTAATAATAAAGAAACAGGGACTTCTAGTATTAGCTTTTGGACCTGTAGTTACAGTAGGCACTCTTTAGAATTTGAACTCATATCTGTATTTGGTTTTTATTTATCTCTATTTATTCCAGTCAATTTTGGGAGGTGATTAATCTGGATCCTTCAGTATTGTAGACTGAATGGATCTGTCTATTCAATTGAAATAAATTGAATGGAACTATTTATTCTATGTATTGAAATGATAGCCATCGAGTCTTTTTCAAGCTTTTTCCCATTTACAACAGAAAAAAAAAAAAGGAGGACAAAACGTTGGTGTATCCAGAAGAAAGAAGAAATGATGAGACATGATAAGAAAACATTGCTATATTAAGTCAGGTCCTGTGTTAAATCCTATAATGCAAGAGAGTGCTTGGCACCCACAAGCTGGCAGTTAGGGAAAATGTTGGCAGGAAGAGCACTGGTCCTATAATACCATGATTTATGGGTTCACACAGGCTGCAGACCCATTTTCATTCCTAAAATGAACTATCTTTTGAGTTTTAGGTTCCTAAAGATCTTTTTATCTGATAATTGTTACATTTTACCTCCCTCAAGGAGGAATGGAGAGAATGTTATGGTGATAATTTATGGGGGCTTCTGATAGGAGGTGGTATTTGAAATGTGTCTCTATGAATGAGTAGAGGTGAGTGAACTTTTTAAACAGCTCCTGTGCACATCATAGTCTCTTACTCTTACCTCTGAGTCATGGCTTGAGATATCCCCTCTGTTTGGAAGCATCTTTAATTCCATCCTGATAATTCCACCTTTTTCTAGAAAAGAGTGATGGTAAGGTAATTACTGAAGGCTGTCTTCCTTGACAACTCTCTCCATGGCCTCGTTGTTAGATGAATTGTCTTACCTTTGTATAGCTTGTCCTGCTGCTCTTACACAAATCATTAGAATGTAAGCGTTAAATGCTGTTTCCCCTACTTCACTCTCAATTTGGTGGACTTCTTTGAGCCTCAATTTTTTCATCTGTAAAATGGAAATACACTCTTAGACTAACAGGTAGCTGTTAATTTTTAAAATTATCTTCTGTAAACTCCAGGTCACAGGATATTATTCTGAAATTTTTACTCCTTTCTTTCTGCACATAATTCAAAACACTTATTAATGGAAACATACAGGATGGGCTGGGGATAAGAGTTCATTTTTCTTCTAATCTGTTCTCCAGTTTCACCTGCGATATGGCTAATAACTGACTCAGTGTTGACACATGCCTCAATCTCACACTTGTTTCTCTACAGACAAAAGGGCAACCTGAGGGATACCTGTTAACAATAGCCTTTTGCTGGGAGGGAGTAAATAAAGGTATAGCCTAATGCTCTTTCAGATAAGGGAAGTCTGAGTTCTTACTTCCGTAAGTAAGGATCTGACAATAAAAAAGAGCAAGAGAGAGACAGTGAGGAATACAGTCAACAATAATGTATTATATATCTCAAAACAACAAAGAGAATAAGTTTTAAATGTCTCAACTTAAAAAATGATAGGTAAGCAAGGTGATAGACAGGTAAATTAGCTTGATTTAATCATGCTACATTGTATACATATATCAAAACATCACATCATACCCCAGAAACATATACAATTATGCTTTGTCAATCAAAAATTGTATTAATAATTTGTTTTAAGTGAAAAATACAGATTCATCCAACCAGGTTCTTCTTAGCCAAGAAACAAGGCTGGCCAGGCTGCTCTAACCACTTAGCTCCCACTTAGCTTCTGAAAACTCCTCACTTATTCAAGAGGTGCCTCTGAGTATTCATTAGAATCTAATGCTTGTCCTAAACTTAGTGGCCTTGCAGAGAAGATGTACTCTGCAGTTTGATGCAGTTATGAGCACACTGGAAAACAATAGCTTCAGACGCCGGGGAAAATGATATCCCATTCAGCAAAAGTCCTCTGTCATTGGCTTTGTGATTGGAAATAAGGTAGGGAGCAGTTTCCCAAATACAGTATATTGCTGAGCAGATGTATAAGAATCAAAGGGAAAATGGTTGCCAGGGAGACAAGACACTCATGCCAACTCTGTCGCAGACTAATCATAAAATGTCTCCAGGGGGCATTGTATAGCCACAAGCACAGACAGGAACAGAGCCAAGCCCAGGGATCCAGATGTTGCCCTTGGAACTGGGCGCCCATTTCAGGGACTGGCATCTGCCTTCTGCCGAACAGAATGTGCGTGGCTGCATCTGCTCACTGCAAAAGTTAACACACACTAAAAGCAGAGGAAAGGTTGCCATAAACTAATGATTTGGCACCGTGCATAGGAAGGTATTACATATTAGATATATCTTCTGTTAACCCCGAGTTCATTTCTGCATGGCTCTTTCACAACACACAACTCACCCATATCCTGTCTCTCAGTAATTTCCATCCTGTTCATCTGAGAGCAATCTTGTTTACAAATAACACCTGAATTATTTACAACGTACCTGAGTACATTTGACATCAAAAGAGAAAAAGTTGGATGGACTAGTTTTTTCAATTAATCCAATAAAATACAGCTTTTACTTTACAGCTCTTAAAAAAAAAAAAAAGGACGTGATATACATTTGTGTCTGAGACTCTACTATTAAAAAACTACCTCTGATAAGAAGGGTGGGTGACGACAAGGGGTTTTCAAAGTGTTTGTTTTCACTTTCATCTACTGTCACTTGCAATGATGAGATTTTTGAACAGTAAATTATGGTATTTCAACATCTGAAGAACTTTCTTATGACCAGAGAAAAGTTCAATGAGGCGTAATTTAAACGTACACTATATCTGATTCTGTATATATGACTAGCATTTTATAGTTTACAAGACTTTTTCACTTATTTTGTATGCTATTCTTAACCTCTCTATAGCAGTTAGTTGAAAGAGGTAATATTAATCTTTTTTTAAAAAAAAATCTTGAGGACACTGAAGTCCAGAAAGGTTTAAAGGTTTCTTCAAAGTCAAAGAAGTAAAAGAGAAAGAGTTGAGACCACTATATGTATATTGTCAATTGCAAATTCTGTGTTCTTTGCATTAAAAATGATTCTATGTTTGGTTATCAAGAAACAAGGATCAAAACTTGTTTTTTACCCCAAATATGAATGGCAAGATTTCACTTAGTTTTATTGAATTACAACCTTCCTACTTGTATTAGTTTTCTGCTGCTACCTAACAAATTATTACAAACTTAGCCATTTAAAATGACTCCAGGAGTCTGGGCACAGCATGGTTGAGCTGTTTTTTTCTATCTAGAGTTTCTCAGTTGTTCTCAAGACATCCATGTATCAGCAAGGCTGCATTCTCTTCTGGAGGTTCTGGGGATAAACTCCCTTCCAAGCTCATTCAAGTTTTTGGCAGGATCCAGTTCCTCACAAGACCCCATTTCCTTGCCGGCTGTCATCTGGAGGCCACCCTCATCTCTTTGAAGCTGACACATTCCTTCTCACACGCATGCTCCATGTTCAAAGCAACAACAGCATGTCAAACCCCTAGCATCTTTTGAATTTCTTTACCTCCTTTCTGCTCCCCTATCCTGCTTTTTAAAGGTCTCATGTGATTAGAGCAGGCCCACCTGGATAACCTCTGCATCTTAAGGTCAATTAAAACTGATTTGGAACTTCAATTATAACTGCAAACTTCCCTTCCAGCAGAACCTAAATTGATCTTTGATTAAATAACCAGGGTATAAGAATCTTAGAGGAAGAAGGGCATTGTTAGGATTCTGCCCAACACACCACTCAAAATGTGGTCCTTGGGCTGGCAGCATCAACATCACATGGAAGCTTGTTAGAAATGCAGAATTTCAGGCCTCACCCCAGATGTCCTGAAACAGTAATTTATCAAGATCATCAGGAGATCCATATGCATATTAATAAGAAGCATTTGCTTCGAATGTGTGTTTTTTTTCCTTTTTTTTTTTTTTTTTTTTGGCAGCAGACATTGGGTTGACGGAAACAAGAAGCAAACCATTCAATTCTTTTATTCCATCTTGTGAGTGTTCTCTCCCTTTCTGACATGGAGAAAGGGGTCAGATAAGGCCAAAGGCAACTTTCTCATTCATGGCCTGAAAATGTAAGCAGAGCTGCACCCTGCTGAGCTGTGGAAGGAAAAGAGATTTTTCAGAGCATTTGCAATGAAGCTTTTGATGGTTTATTACTTCTTAGCCTTCAGCATTCGTAGTGGCACTCTTTGCTGCTGAGAGTGGACAATCTTGAGAATATTATGAAATCTTTTAGTGTTTGTTTATGGTGCACGGCTGAAAAGTTTGAAACTTTAAATGAAAATAGATCCCTTTGCAGTACTGGGATAATAGAGGACAAAAATCAATTTTGTTTTAGATGGAGGGAATTATGTACCATCCAATTGTTACGATATGCTGCATTATTTAGAATGTATCTCACGGGGGCTAGCTTTCCATGAGTGCATATTGATTTCATGTCCATTTAGCTATAGACTGAGATGCAACTATAAGGAAATCTAAGTGATGTTGGTTAAGGATTTTAAACATATGCTCAGCTTCCGAGAGCTAATCAACCTTACCAGGAGAATGCTGAAAAACCTGGATGTGCCTCCACTTGGTGCCAGCATGCTCATGATGTGGCAACTCCTCTATCCTAGGTATAAAGTGGCAACTCTTCAATTGTGGGTATAAGGCAGGATAATGTAAAATGGATATAATGAAAGAATCATGAGATCAATGTTCTTTTTTTTTTTAACTTCTTGCCTTTTAATAATATCTTTGAATATAGATGGTTTCAATTCTCCAGTAACAAGATGTAGAGTGGCCAAATGGTTTTTCATGCATGTTTCCCTAGTCCAGACACCCAAGAGTATGTCCCTCTCTTGGGCATAAGAAAACCTAGAGTTATATTTAGGGCATCATGTATGGTGAATAGTTGACTGAGCTGGCATGCTCACAATGACCAAATTATGTTTGTCATATTTTAATCCAATACATTGATCTACTATGAATTGTAAATAATGTATTTGCTTTCTAGACACATTCCAGGAAGACCAGAGAAACTGACTTTTATCCATATGGAATAATCCACTGGCAAATTTCTTTTAGGACAGACCAAAGCTGATCTAGAACATAATCTTTACATACTTGGATCCTTCCCATCAGACGAGAAAGAACATCTGGGGTGAAAGTCTCCATTAGAAGAGCAATGTGGGATGGTGCTGTGCTGACAACTGGTAGTTCCTGCCCTACATCTTTGTAGAGGACTGGAGCCCAGAGCATGCCATGGTCAACTTGTATGTTGAAGTGAAGACCTCCTTCGAGGTGTGCATGTGCTTATTACAGATATGCCACGGTGCTAAGTACCCCAGGACTAGAGGAAAAAATAAGAATAGATGCTGTATCCATGATCATGAGGCACACAGGCCAGAGTGCCAGCTGTGGAATCGCACAGCCCAGGTTCAAAGCCTGGCTGGGCCATGATCACCTGAATGACCTGAGGAATGGTCTCAGGCAAACTTGTAAAAAGTGGAGACCCTGCCTGCCAGGGAGGCATGTGGTAAGAGGTGCATCCAGTCAGGTCAGGGCACTGCATCCTCTCTTGGAAACCTGTGGAGCGAGGCTGGTGGCCCTTGAGGCCACGGCAGCCATGGAGAAGGCAGGCCTGGCTCCAGGCAGCACAGAGGCACTGGAGAGCCTGGCGGGATCTGGCTGGTCCTGCGCTCTGCTTCCAGGTTCTGGCCCTGCAACCCGGGGTACAGGGCCGGCCAAGACAGGGCCACTGGGTGCCAGCCAGCACCTGGGCCAGGCGCCAGGCGGAAGCGCTCTGGCAGATCAGCCCCGCACCCCCAACAGCCCCACAGGGGGCCCATCCAGGGCCACACACCTGCCCCCAGGAGCAGGACGTCCCTGAGGCTAGAGTCCAGGGGAACCGGTGGAAGGGTCTCACCCTTTGCCCTTTGACTCCTCTTGTAGGCACCCTCGCTGGGCTCCTAAGCACTCCTCCACACCCTAGCTCTGTCACCAGCCCCATTGTGATGTCATAAACTCCCAGATGCCCAGTGTGCACCCGGCCACAGAGAAGTGGGTGACTTAGGAGTATCCTCTCCGCTTCTCACCCTTACTTTCGTCTGTGCACAACTCGCTCAAAATGGGCAACTCACTAAGCGTATTTTGTTCCTGGTTCCGCCGCAGGTCCTGGCCATGCCATCGGCCACCTGCTCGTCTTGTCCGTGAGGCCTTCCCAGCTGGCCGGGCTCACCCCGCGGCTCCTGCACCTGTGCCTGCCCGGGGAATCTGGGGCCATTTCCCACTCTTCAACCGTCAGCGACATCTTGGGCCTTCTTTTCCAGACAGGTGGGATGGTGCCCCTATGAGGCTGTGTCTTAGCCCTCAGAACACGGGCACCCCACAGAGGGTCCTGCCTCCTGTGGTCTGGAGCCCCCCCTCGAGGAAGAAACCTGCGCTGTCTGCTCGCAACTCCACGATGTTTGGACACCTCAGGCCCCTGAGGATCCCTCGTCTCAGAGGCAAGTTTAACCTTCAACTTCCTTCATTTGATGAGCAGGTGATCCCAGCCAGGCTCCCGAAGACGGAGATGAGGGCAGAAGAGCCCAAAGAAGCAACGGAGGTGAAAGACCAGGTAGAGACCCAGGGGCAGGAGGACAATAAAAGGGGCCCCTGTAGCAATGGGGAAGCGGCCTCCACCTCTAGGCCCCTGGAGACTCAGGGAAACCTCACTTCCTCCTGGTACAATCCCAGGACCTTGGAGGGAAATGTCCACCTCAAGAGCTTGACAGAAAACAACCAGACTGACAAGGCCCAGGTGCATGCAGTGAGTTTCTACTCCAAGGGCCATGGAGTCGCCAGTTCACACAGCCCTGCTGGAGGCATCCTTCCCTTTGGGAAGCCTGACCCACTTCCAACAGTGCTCCCTGCCCCAGTTCCGGGCTGCTCCCTGTGGCCAGAGAAGGGGGCCTTGAAGGTGCTGGGTAAAGACCACCTGCCCAGCTCTCCAGGCTTGCTGATGGTGGGGGAGGACATGCAGCCCAAGGATCCTGCAGCTCTTGGATCAAGTAGGTCTTCTCCACCCAGAGCTGCCGGCCACAGTTCCCGCAAAAGAAAACTGTCGGGGCCACTGCTGCAGCTGCAACTGACCCCTCCCCTGCAACTGAGGTGGGATAGAGACGAGGGGCCCCCACCGGCTAAGCTTCCATGTCTATCTCCTGAGGCACTGTTGGTGGGTCAGGCTTCCCAAAGAGAAGGACGCCTCCAGCAGGGCAACATGCATAAGAACATGAGGGTGCTAAGTAGAACATCAAAATTCAGGAGACTAAGAGAGCTGCTTAGGAGGAGAAAGGAGAGACGGCAGGGCAGGCGTGGTGGCCCACGCCTGTAATCCAGCACTTTGGGAGGCCCAGGCGGGCGGATCAGGAGGTCAAGAGATTGAGACCTGAGGAGCATCTCTGCCTGCACCATCTGGGAAGTGAGGAGCGCCTCTGCCTGGCTGCCGTCCTGTCTGCGAAGCAAGGAGTGCCTCTGCCCGGCCCCCTTACACTCTGGGAAGTGAGGAGTGCTTCTGCCTGGCCACTGCCCTGTCTGGGAAGTGAGGAGTGCCTCTACCCAGCTGCCCACCATCTGGGAATTGAGAAGGAGCACCGCCTCTGCCCGGCCTCCACCCCATCTGGGAAGTGACGAGCACCTCTGCCCGGCCGCCTCACGGTATGGGAAGTCAGGAGCGCCTCTGCCCAGCTGCCCTGTCTGGGAAGTAAGGAGCGCCTCTGCCTCGCCGCCATCCCGTCTGCGAAGTGAGGCGTGCCTCTGCCCGGCCTCCTCACCGTCTGGGAAATGAGAAGCGCCTCTGCCCGGCCACCGTCCCATCTGGGAAGTGAGGAGCGCTTCTGCCCAGCCACCGCCCTGTCTGGAAAGTGAGGAGCACCTCTGCCCAGCCCCCTCACCCTTTGTAAGGGAGGAGTGCCTCTGCCCAGCCCCTGCACCGTCTGGGAAGTGAGGAGCGCCTCTGCCCGGCCCCCTCACCATCTGGGAAGTGAGGAGCGTCTCTGCCCAGCCGCTGTGCAACCTTCCACGTGTGAAGTGACAGCCTTGTGTGTGATCTTTCTGCCCTCCCCAAGTTTGCATTTTCGACATTAAAGTTTACTTTTTAATTAAAAAAAAGGAGATCGAGATCATTCTGGCCAACATGGTGAAACTCCATCTCTACTAAAAATACAAAAATTAGGTGGGCATGGTGGCTTGTGCCTGTAGTCCCAGCTACTCGGGAGGCTGAGGCAGGAGAATGGCTTTAACCCGGGAGGTGGAGGTTGCAGTGAGCCGAGATCGCACCACTGCACTCCAGCCTGGTGACAGAGCAAGACTCCGTCCTGAAACGATGTTGTAATTGAGAGCAGGATGGTCTTTTGGGACAGGAGGAACAAGAGGTTCTGGTTACCACTCTTCAATCAGTTCTTCTTTTTCCTCGACTGTAAGATCAGATCGTTCTTGTAATTTGTAAGTCTTAGAGAAAAGAAGTCTGATTATCCAGAGTATGAGAATCCCTTCCAAAATAAGATGGTAAGCAGGAGCCTTGTAAAGCGCCTGTACCATCTCCACCAGAACCCACTGCTGCGTGGCGGTCGCCATAGTTAGCCGCTTCCTTCCCGAGGTCAAAGTTCTAATTAAACTTTGTAGCTAATGATAAAATGAATAGCTGATGAGAAAAAAAGGGAGCTACTAGATCAGAAAGTATTTGAATTTATGATGTGACTGTGTATATACTGATGTCAGAAGTGTGGATGAAGTGAGGGGGCAAAGGACTGAATGCAGAAAGAAACCGCAGGACCCTTTTAACAGGTTAGAGCCAGAAAGATCTAGCATTCATTTTGAAAAAGTGACACGTCTCACATAGTATATATGCTATGAAACATTGTATAATGTATTATATTAGTAACTGCACCATTATTTCTTACATATATTAGATATGCTAGGATTATTTTCATGTATTATATGAAGCTTAGTAGAAATTTCTTCTTTGATTTCTGATTTTCTCCCTCATGGTAATGTGTCCAAAACTGAAATGGGAATGCCCCACTAATACACATAGTACTAATAACAATGAGCTAAAATTATTACATTTAAAAAAATTTATTGCATGCCACTTCCCTGCCAGAAGCCATGCCAGGTGCTATGGATACAAAAATGAATAAGCCTTTTTTTCTAGGAGCTTGTAGACAATTATAAAATAATGTGATACGAGTACTAAGAGGTACATGGAAATTGCTATGTGACCACAGGAAAATGAATGGTCAAACGCAGGAAATTAGGTGGCAGGAGTAAGGAAGGCCTCACAGAGAACATTTTGATGTATCTCAAAGAACAATGAAAGCTCATCTAACTTGGAACTCAATGGCCAAGTAAAATGAGTATTTAAAAAAAAAAAGACACAGAAAACAAGTGTAGGTATTGGTATGTATAAGTTATAGCAATTCTACAGATTAGTGAGCAGATAGGACTATCAGTTCCATTAGGAGGGAAATCGGGAAAGATGAAACAGAAGACATTCAGGATAAATTATAATGTTATAATTCCTGAAAAATTACTTTATAAATTCTAATGTGTGCAAATGTCCTGCTCATTGTCTCCAAAGCAGTATTACCCACATTTTACAGATGCAAAAGTGGATGCCCATAAAGGTAAAATGATCTGCTGAGGTTTTTAGGGCCAGTAAATGTAGCCAGTAAATGAAGGGACTCCAGGCCTTCTATTTCTACTACCTGTGTAATCCATGACAGCCTATAAAGTAAAGTGCTTTATTCCATCTTTTCTTACTGTTGCTTTGTGGTTAATTCTAAGTTTCAAACCTGGATACGTGAATTAATAAATGTGAGCACAGAGCACAGTGCTTGCTCCTAAAAATCAATTAATCGATGTAAGGTCTCTTTTCCTTCTTTTTAAGAACCTACATCGTCACCACTCTGGCACAAACTCTGCATGTTAAGCTGTAGAATCGTCAACACCTCCTGTCTCATCCCTTAGCCTGTTGGCCAACTCCCTCCAGTCTAGAACTCTAAATTAATCATCCTTAGAAATGGCTTTACCAGTCCTTTGTTCTAAAATGTACAGTGGTTTATTAATAATAACTACCATTTCAGAGAATGTAATGTGGGGCAGCCTCTTGGCTCACTGTTTTGCATATATGATCTTGCTTAATATTCAAAACAATCCCTAGGAGATAGGCACTCTTATCATCTCTGTTTTTAGGGGATGGAATAATAGTCCAAAGAGTGACAAGGTCAAGTTTCTTTACACAATTATAAAGAGACAGAGTCCTGATTCGTAACAGTCTATTCACAGTACACGTGTTCTTAACCTCTAAGCTTAAGCTGCCTCCTGCAGCAAGCTGATGGACAAAACAAGTGGAAAACAAGAAATACGTATTGAGTATCCAGAGTCAGTATGACACAAATGGGGAGCTAGAAGCTTCATCTTTCCTGATTTGGGATTTGGGCCAAGGAGGATAGAAGAAAAGCTATCGAAAATTATTTATTTATTTATTTTTGGCATTTTGGGAAAGCACAAGAACATTTCCTGAATGAAACAATTTTCTTTAAAAAAAAATTTTTTTTACGAGCTCAGAATCAATTGCTTTTCTTTCCTTGGCTACAGTCATTTTAGGCAATGGGCATCATCATCACCATCAGCAGCAGCAAATATGATCATTAGGCTTTAAACTGCCCTTACATTCTTGGTCATTTCCTAGTGCAGTTGGATTTCAACTTGGTTATTACATTACGAAGTGGAATGTATTAAGTTTTCTCAAGTTCAGCTCTGCAGTTTACATCAGAGTGCTGTGATTATACAGTATTTGGACTGGAGCTAAAAATGACATTTTCTTAGAATATAAAGATTAAACTATAAACAAAGACTAAGAAAATCCCAATATGTTTAAATATGCAATATGCAAATGCTGAAAATAGACTTTTGATGTCACACACACTCAAGTTATTATACAAGCAGCAACTCCAATGCCCAAGTCATAGCCACAGCAAATGCTGCCCAATGATAAAATCTGGTGCCCAATTCAATCAGCCTGAAGTTCCTGGAAGTGTTTATGGCCAGTGAAGACTCAGCAATATGGACCTGAGAGGTTTTAAAAACAGATGCAAGGAGGGACCTTCTTGCTTTAGCAAGTATCATGTCCTGTTTTGCCATTTCTTACCTCTCCCAATTTTGATTTTAAATGGAAATTTAGAGTTTCACAAAGTACATTTTTTCTTCCATAACAGTATAGTCCATGGTAGTGGTTCTCAAATGCTACCTGTTCAAATGCAGATTCTTTCATCCCACCTTCAGAGATTATAGTTCTAGAGATGGGACACAGGAAGGAATGCCCCATGAATTGTACTCCCTAAACATGTGAAATGCATTTCTATCCAAGAATCTACACCCACAGGTGGCCCATGAACTGCACTTTGAGAAACATATTATGAAGAAAAGAAAAATGGCTCTGCAGTCACAGTGACTTGGGTTTGAATCCTGGGCTCCACCCAATCAAGAACTCCAGGACTTTGAGACAAAGTCTCTGAGTCCCTGGACGCTTCAGTTTTCTCATTTATAAAATAGGGATAAGAATGTTTACCTGGAAGAACTGTTTTGAGAATGGAAAGTAATGGCTGTTTATTACCTTGGGCTGTGTTTACATGTTGCAAAGACTCAATAAAGTATCATTTATTAAAAATGTTATTCCATTTTTAACGAGCGAGGATGAAAATGAGGATGATGGCAAAAATGGCCAAATTCTGTGGTGCAGTAACACACCCTTTTAACCAGGACAAAAGGTAGTACTTTCACCGTGCGAAACTACTACTGACTACCCCCATTCATCCCAGACACTCACAGACACTCACTGGGATGAATGGGGGTAGAACTGACTACCCCCATTCATCCCAGACACTCACAGACACATACATTAACACGTTGATAAACTCTTTTGGTTTCTAATAGGCCGTAGATTCCTCACTCTTTTGGAAATGAGGAGATCTTTTTAACAAGTCCGAAGTCCATGGACATTTACATAATATTACTTAAGCTTTAGTATGCACTTGAGTATTGAGGAGTGTGAATATGCTTATGGGTTAATGAATCCCTAGTATAATTCTACACCCACCTCTACATGATCTACTCCCACCCTTTTAATCCCGGGTAAAGGGGTCTGTAACTCAGAGGTAGTGACTCTGTAACCTAAGCTATACATTAAGAAAAAAGTTTTAAGCATGGTTTTGAAAAATTAAATTAACAATTGATTCTCTGCTTTATGATTTTAAAGCCATAGTTAATTACTATGACTAATTAACTTAATTGACTTCAAATTAATACAAAAAATATTCAGTGCTATCTGTAAGCCAAAATCAATACTGATAGCCTGTATATACCAGAGGAAATGAGAAAAAGATGGCCCTGCTCTCACTGGGTAGGAAGCATGTTTTTCTCATTGGTCCTTTGGGCAGGGATCCATTGAGCAGGATCCAATGGATGGATCCTGCCCAGTGGATCCTACCCAAAGGGATTTTGGTTAGAAAAAAATAGCCAAAGATCAGGCTAGAAGGGAATATTGTAATTGAGCACATTTTGGCATATAGACATAAATAAATATATTCACAATCATTGTGATAAGTTAGTGCAGGATTTCTGGGCTACATGAAACAGGAATAACACATACACTTTGAGGAAATCAGAAATGAACACTCCTCTATGGAGATGAAGAAAGGTTAGGGATTCTCTAATAGTTCTATTGTTTAGAGGGCAGATTTCTTAGTAACCACTAAAAGTCTCTTCTTTGGTCATAAGCCAAAGAGTATGTAATGTAAATATTTCTGGTTTTACCTGTAAGCCGCACTGCAGGCTTATAATTCTTGCTTTATGAACAAGATAGAGGAGAGAGGGAAAAGAATGTTTGTTTCTCTTGCTTAGACATTGAACATCTATACATTCTCTTCCTGAAAAATAAAACACAAATCAAATGGGAATTTTTCAAAAATAATTTCCAGGCCAGGTGCGGTGGCTCATGCCTATAATCCCAGCACTTTGGGAGGCCAAGGCTGGTGGATCACTTGAGGTCAGGAGTTCGAGACCAGCCTGGTCAACACAGTGAAACTCTGTCTCTGCTAAAAATACAAAATTAGCTGGGCGTGGTGGCGCGTGCCTGTAATCGTACCTACTCGGGAGGCTGAGGAAGGAGAATTGCTTGAATCTGGGAGGCAGAGGTTGCAGTGAGCTGAGATCATGCCACTGCACTCCAGCCTGAGCGACACAGTGAGACTCCATCTCAAAAATAAATAAATAAATAAATAAAATTTCCACAGTTAACAGGCAAATTTTTGTCTGAGGTGCTATCCAGGCATATACTTATAGTCATAGTGGCCTAAACACCCATCACTAAGTTGAATTTAACTGTAGTTCTCTAATAACGTAAATGACATATCCTAATGGAAGGAAATCAGAGAAATCTTAAGAGTCTAATATCAAGCATGCTCTGTTCTTCCAATTTCTAATCTAACTTAAGACCTTTGAATGTTTGATGTTGCTGCAGTATCAATGAAGAATTTCTGACACCTTGAGACTGTAAAGCATTGATATAATTTATCCTGTTATCTTTTACTGTTTGGCATTGGAGGTCTCATTTTTGAGTTTGAGATATATGTCTTAATTCATTTCATGTCCCTAAAGAACACAAGCCTTTTATGGAGGAACAGAAGTTTTATCACAATGCAACCAACTGCAACTCCCTACTACCTTCTCCTGCATCTTTTTTTCACCCCCAATGCATATGTAAACACGCATGCAGGGACACATTACTGGTATGTCATTATTTGCAGCTTTGCAAATATGCCATGATCTTCCACATTTCTGAGACTTTGGACATGAGATTTCTTGTTCCATTTCCAATGATTTTTTATCTCAGAAAATTCATATTCATCTCTAAACCTACTTCAGATAATCACTACCATTAATAACCATTAATAAAAATTAAAAATTGCATTTTTAAAAAATTGGAGATTTGATACCGTTAACACCAAATCTCCAATTTGTTAAAAATACAATTCCTGTGAAGTGCAATAAAGCAAAGTTCCATAAAACAAGCTACATCTGTACCTATTTCAATTGTTTAGATAAACTATGCATCTTTCTCTCCTATCCAGGGCTGGCTTCAGAGTGTGTGACCAGTTATGCCTTACCCTCTCCAGAAGGGTTTCTGCTTAGAGAATAATGCACTGCAATAGTCATTTTTAAATATTTAATAATTTTATCTTGAAATTTATGTTTTGAATGATGTGTCAATGGAGCATGTCCCTGGGGTTTGGAGCCTTGGTTTATCAGTAGTACAACTTCCCACAGCCTCCCAAGAGCAGATTCTCAGCAGTTCACTCTCCCACTCCCTCTACCCCAAGCCCCCCATCCTCCCCTCCCCATCCTCACCCTGCCACTGCTGCCATCTTTCACCCTATGAGTGTCTGGAGAGTTGGGTACACTGCTCCATGGCCTCTTGGGATGGGGCACTGTGGCAGCCACCCTACACTGGGCTGACAGCACCCCAGAGCACCTGTCTCTTTGTGAGAGTGAGCTTTTCCAACCTCTGTCTGTGTAACCTGGCACACAGGTTTAAAGATCTTTGTGAAGTTGGCTATCTGCCATGGGTTGGAGTGTCTCTTGGTGAGAGTGAGCTTTTCCAACCTCTGTTCGTGTAACCTGGCACATAGGTTTAAATATCTTTGTGGAGTTGGCTATCTGCCATGGGTTGGAGTGGCAGACTCATGAAAAATGGAAATATCTAGCTCAATGTTCAAGACCCCACATCTGGCTGGGACACTGAGCAGGTCTAGGAGTTGGCAGGAAGGGCAATCCCAGGGTACCTGTGACAGTCTGCTCTTGCCCCATGAGTATAACCTTGCTCTAGAGCATTCCTTCTGCAGACTCCTGTCTAGGGTGAAGATCTCCTTCTAACCTTCTCTGAATCTGGCTTGTGTTTATCTCTTCAGACCAACTCAAGGAACCCTCAAGGCACCCTCCAAGGATAAACTGTGATACAAGCATGCAATTTCAGTGATTCTGATTAAGGGCTAAAATGCTCTGATGTTTACATTTAAAACTATCATTGCACAGTATAACCAATGGGAAAATTAATGCTAATCACTTGCTTAGAATGAAATTTGCCTGCAAATTAAATTTTTAAAAATGACGAGGTGGTGGCTCACGCCTGTAATCCCAGCACTTTGGGAGGCCAAGGTGGGCGCATCACCTGAGGTCAGGAGTTCGAGACCAGCCTGGCCAACATGGTGAAACCCCGTCTCTACTAAAAATACAAAAAACATATATATATAGCTGGGCATGGTGGCACATTCCTGTAGTCCCAGTTACTTGGGAAGGTGAGGCATGAGGGTCACTTGAACCTAGGTGGCAGAGGCTGCAGTGAGCAGAGATCACGCCGCTGCAGTCCAACCTGGGAGACAGAGTGGCACTCCATCTCAATGAAAAAATAAAATAATTAAATAAATAAATTATAAGACAACTGGAGAGGAAGAGATGATTAAAAAGAAAGGAAACATCTTTGTGTGCATTTTTAATGGCATTTTTTTCTGGCTTTTCAAACAAAAGATTATATTTTTTCACCAGGACCTACAAACCAAGTAGCAAGCTCTGTACCTAATTAAAACTGAGTCCCTGAAAATTGGAGTACATGCTTTTTTAACTTGCTTTTCTGTACCTAGCATAATATCTGGCATTTATCAAATATTCAATAAATGCTTTTTTTGAGATCATTTACATATATTTGATTTATGTTATATATACATCTGTGTGTTTGTGTGTGTGTGTGTGTGTGTGTGTACAATATGTAGGTGGGTAACACCTGAATTCTACATATTTATGATTATACTTTAATATAGTATAAATTAGTATAATATATACTTTGATATGTAATGATATATGAAATAGAACAATAGAATAAAATACTTTAAAAACTGATTTCCAAACATTTTAGTCTTTCAGTTATCATTCTGTATTAAGAGAATACTGTTTTAGTTCCTTTGCATTTAAAAGATCATTAATCCAAATACTAATTTAATCAATATTATATTAAACAAACTATAAGAGTAAATTAATATTAAGAAAGTGGATTCATCACACTATAAGCTTTCAGAATGTGCCTAGTGTCAGCATATTTCTATGAGAAATAAGTCCTGTTTACACCGGCTATGAAAATCTTAGACTGATTTTTCCTCATTGTTTATACTTTGATTCATGGAGAAAGCTAAGATTAATATGAATACCATTACAATTTTTAGATTGTCTACTTTCCAGGTGCTTATCATTTTGTTAACACCTGTGGCTAAATGTAGACAATATAGAATATGATAAAAGCAGATGTATTTTAATATGAATATTTCCAGAACATTAGGTTCTAAATAGCTTATTTTTTCTGCAAACAACACTTTCACTTACTTAAAATGTAGGAAATATGTCTAATGGTGCATGTGTAAAGACACACAATCACATAGTTACCTACACACAGTCATCCAAATATACACATAAATTCATACTTACAGGTACAGATACATAAAGGCATATGTGAACAAGGAGACACACAGATATCTACAGAGGCACATATACACATAGACTAGAGACACACACATATAAACATGTACACATGCACCCACACTGATTTAAACACATGCAGACTGGCAAACACACAAATCTATATATAGAAACAAACACACATACTGATCCAATTGCACACAGTTACATAGCCATGTATACACACAGCTCATATACATAAATTTATACACAAACAAGAACATATGCTCACAGATACACATATATATAGACACAAACTCATGCATACAGACACCTAGACACATATATACATGCACATACTCATATCTCTTCTGTCACATGCTTTTGGAATTGAACAGAATTGCTTGAAATTAAAGGAGAAAAGCTAGATGAGATGCTTCTAGCAAAAGAGAGAAATACAAAAAGAAAAAAAAAAGCAATTATAAAATCATTGCCTATACCAAAAAAAGCTATTATGCTTTCCTTTCTGATAATTAAGTCACTTTAGTTAAACATTTAATCGTTTCCTGAACACTGACTATGTGCCAGGTCCTGTCTGAATGCCCCAGTCCGTGTAAAGCATGCATCATATTAACATCGCTGAATATAGAAGCATTTTTTCATTTTCTTAATACATTGTAAATGTATTGCAGAATTGTGGAAGCAGCTTGATATGTCTTGCAAGTTCAATGAAGATACTAATAACTTCATGGAAAGCAAGATATGCCCCCAAATCCCTTGTCTTTGCCTCTCCCTCTATGGATTACTTTTTCCCCTAAATCAAAAGACAAACACAAGTCTTGAGAAACTATAAAATACCTGATATGGTTTGGCTCTGTGTCCCCAACCGAATCTCATGTTGAATTGTAATTTCCAATGTTGGAGGAGGCATCTGGTGGGAGGTGATTGGATCATGGGGGTGGGTTCCCCCTTGCTGTTCTTGTGATAGTGAGTGAGTTCTCACAAGATCTGTTCATTTAAATGTGTTTGGTACCTCTCTCTCCTCTCTCTCTCTCTCTCTCTCTCTCTCTCTCTCTCCTCTCCCGTTCCGGCATGGTAAAGATGTGCTTGCTTCCCCTTCACCTTCTGCCACAATTGTAAGTTTCCTGAATTATCCCCATCCATGCTTACTGTGCAGCCTGCAGAACTGTGAGTCAATTAAACCTCTTTTCTTTGTAGTCTTAGGTAGTTCTTTATAGCAGTTTGAGAACGAATTAACACGACACCTCTCTCCCATCTGTCTGTCCTCTTCCTGTGTGTTCTTCTATATTTGCCATTTAAATTGGCTTATGACCTTATTTTTCTGTGTGTGTTTTATTTTATTGTGTTTTGTTTTCCAGATAGATGCAGCATTCACTAGAAGAATACAATTTTAATAGATATATGTCAAAGTTACTATATAGTATTAAACAAGAATATGTGAATCATTAACAGTCCTCTAATGAGGATGGATTAAAAGTAAAGCAAAGAGGTAATTGCCATCTTCTCCGTTCTTCCTTCTCACCCTGCCTTGTAAAGCATGTGACAGTAGAATTAGATCTAGGTTTTAGAAGGCTGTTACTACAATCACATGTGTCACAGTTTCTGCTACTCGGTATTGTAAATCCTGTCCAATTCTCTAACCAGCAAACTACATGTACACACAATTCCTCATTTGTAACCTTGGGACAATAATTAACTCCTTAATGGGGTTGCCATGAGACCACATTGATCTGGAAGTATACAGAATCAAAGAGAATCTTTAATATAAGACATTTATCAAAAATGCCTGGCATTTGAAGCTCTAAACAAAGTTAAAAATGTTCGGTTAATAAAATAAATAATGTTTTCCAACTAACCCTTAGAGATGAAAAATCCTTCTAGAATACTTTTTGGTTGTCCATCCTTAACTTTATGTAGAAAAGCTAGAAGTAAGGGTATTCCTTTCCATCTTTCATACTTACAGGAATTTTGCAAACCTCTGTTTACACATGGTACACACAGACATATACACACATGCACTACTCTACATTTTAGTATTAATAGGGCTCCTGTTTACCAACATTAATAGATGTCTAACAATCTTCCAGACACTTCTTTTACCTTTCGAGTTTATCCTGGCCATTAAAAGAGAAAAGAGATGTATTTTCATGCCAATTGAATTTCCAGTTGAAAGTCCAGTTGAATTTCCAAGAAACTATATTTGTGCTATCTTCCTCCTACCTATCCAGGTTAATCTCCTTTCATGGTAATTTACCCCCAATGCTGTCTCCTCTCCCAACTCACACACAAATACCCATACCCTGTTTCCACCTGTCATTCTTCCTGCTGATACAGTCTCAGGAAGCATGTGAGGAAATGGTAAATGGCTGTTTGCTCTGTCAAGTTCCTTGCCACCTAAAAATCTTTCCCTGATTCTTCAGGCCTCAGCTGTAATGTCTGAAATCCACAAAGGCAAGTTTTGGTTCTTTGTCTCCCAAAGATATTTCTCCTTATTACAATTTCTTCTACCATTGAAGCTTCTTTTATTATGGGAATTGCTTGTAACCATTATTGTCCTCCTCAGTAGAATGTAAGCTTCTTGAAGTCAAAGGCATATTATGGTATGTACTTACCATGAATAGTAGATGAGCCAATGGTATTTCCAAGGTCACATGTGTATAACTCAAGCTTGCAGCTTTTTATAGTGTGTTACTTGTTTTCAACCATATCAGAAGAGCTTTGATTTCACATTTTTACATTGGCTTCTTCCTTTTCAACTGAGGCTTTCTTTCCACTAAAAGGGACCTGCTAAATAAAGAAAGAATTCATGGTCTCATTATAATTCTCCACATGCCAGAGGACCTTGTGGTGAGGTCCTGGATCACATGTGATGCTTTTGACCTTTACTGACTCTATTCTGAACATACACAGGAATTGTCTGTAGAATTAGAGTGACTCAAAGTAGACTTCTATTCATTAAGTTCCAGCATACACTTTGAAGAGTTCGTAGTAGTAGCAGTTAATGTGTCACTTTCTTCCCTTTCTAAATAATTATGTCTTACTTGTGTTAGTGCATAAATAAATAGAATTATTTAAAGGTTGAACGGCATCTTTTCTGTACTTTGCTTAAACATTCATAAATCCTGAACTATAGCTTCATATTTATTCTATTGTTGTGACAGTATTGGGAAACACACATTGGGGTCACTGATAAGCTCACAATTATTCCTCCTCCAGTGTTGGTATCTTTATAATCACATATTCAGGTAAATCAGGTCACTCCTTACAAGGACAGCCTTATGACCTGAGACGGTTTAATAACTCACTCCCTACTGACAGAGACTGGTTCAAATTATTGGCATGAGATTCTACCCAGGCCATTCATGCCCCATTCTCTTTGGGTAGAAATTGGCTAACTGTATAGAGCAAAATACTTCTTTCTCTATATTTTCTTTGGAGAGAGCTTAGCAGTAAAAACTGAAAAAGAGTGAGAGGAGAAAAAGGAGGGTAAACCAAGAAAATGATAAAGTTGCTTTAGTATGCCTGATGTATCATCTCTACCCATTCCTAGATAATATTGAAAGAAAAAAAATGAAAGTCCTCCTTTTTGGTGACAGTGACAGAAAGTAAACTCCATCTAGGACTCTGCTTCTCAAAATGTGGCTGTGGACCAGAAACACTGACATTCCTTGGGAGGTGTCTTTTGGAAAAGAAAAATCTTAGGTTCCTCTCCAAACCTACTGAACCAGATTGTGCATTTTAAAGAAAATTCCCAGGTATTTCACATGCACATGAAACAATGAGAAGCACTGATACAGTTGCTTTATTTATTTTTTATTTATTTTTGCTGCTCTCTGTGTTAAATTCAACTGGATATTTTTTGAACTTCCCCAACCTTTCTCAACCACAGGGCCTTTGCAAATGCTATTTTCTCTGCCTCAAAACCTCTACTCTTCTTTCCGTTACCTAGTTAACATGTCTTTAAACATTAAATCTCAGTGCAAGTGTCATTTTTTTCATGGGCATCTTTCTGACCAGATTAAAGTACCTACTATATAAGCGTATGGTATGTGAAGTTTTAGAGTAAACATAAAGCATATTAAGCTTAATGACTGATTTATTTTTTAATCACTGAGTTCCCAATATCGAAATTGGCACATACTATACTCTCCACCTATATTTATTGAATGAATGAATGCCTGAGTGAATGATGTAAAAATTTTTATAGACAAAGTGAAGCCCAGAGAAGTTGAGAGATTTACCTAAAGTCATCTAAAAACTGGTTGATCCATTATCTATGTTACTGCTCTAATGTCTGAGAATAGGTATACTTAAATTCTCCTCTTTCCCTCGGCAATTTTCTTCACCAAAGACAACAAAATTAGAAGCCAAACACATAGCCGAATGGGAACCGCCAATCTTGAAAATCTATGAGAATGAGATAAACTTTTTCTAAAGAATCTTCTTTTCTGCAAATATCCTTCTGCTGAGTGAGTGGCTTAGATGGCATAAGCATATTTATTATCAGGTGATGACACTTTTGCTTGAATGCTGTGTTCTTTGGCTGTAGAAAAAATAAAATATAATAAATCAAAGTGAAACTGCAGCAGCTGATCAGCCTCTGACCAACTGCAGAATGGGAAGTCTCCAATGAGCAGAAACTCAGGTAATCATCTGATGTATGCTCTGTCCATAGCAGACCCCCAAGAGGTGGAATGAGTTCAATTTATCAAAATAAACTTCATGGCATTTCTGTCTGGGGGTGCAGTGCAGTTTTTATTATTGGAAGGTTTTTTATCAGCAGAGCAATATAGGGAAGGGCTCGTGGAAATTTAAAGTGATTGTGATTCAGACATGCCTTGGCATGAAAGTAGGTGCCACAGGATGAAGGTCATTTTTTCTTTATTTTTTTTCTTTTCTTTCCTTTCTTTTCTTTTCTTTTTTTTGTTTTTCATCCCATCTGAGCAACTTCTACACTGTTAAGCTTACCAACTGCCTGTACACCATCACAAATCACCACTTATGACTTATTTTTAGGCATTCCAACACTGTTTATGGACAATATCCTAGACAGTTTCTCCTTGCACATCTTAGATTCCTATTCCCTGAACTGGTTGTTATTGTCCTAACTTCTGGATTGCTATTTTGTATAATGATAATAGCCCTGAGCTCATGCTCCTTTTGAGCTTGGAAATTGTGGTCCTAATACTGTTCTGTTAAGCTTTATTTAGGCATGACTATTTTGTGGTTTTTTGGTTCATTTATTCAAATATTTAATTTCAGAATGCAAGATATTACACACTGCTAAATGCTGGAAGATGAAAACACAGTACTCTCGCTCATGCACATGTAATTAAGTTGTACTTAATATACATTACTGTATTATTACAATACAGTGAGATGTTTCTATACAGACATGGACTGCCACTGAATACTTTAAATAAAGGCCCTGAAAGACCCATCTCTCCAGGCTAATCTCAAAAGACCCGTCTCTTAGCACCATGCCAGTTCCTCTGGGTTTGTCTTACCTCTGTCCTCAGGCCTTTGCCCTATAACTTTGAGGCCACCCATTAGATTCACCTACATCCTCCCCTACCACCCTTTGCTTATCTCAACTCTTATATTTACAGGCACAGAGAATTACAGTGTTCTGCTCTGTTTGTAACTTCCAACAAATATTACATATCTTGATGAAAGTTATTGTTCTTAATTCATCTTTAGAACTCTAATATCTAATACTGTGTCTTCTATTCAGAGGTACTCAGTAAATGTTGAATTCATTGGCTCATTTGACAAATGCAAAACAAGCTTAAAGTGTCATTTTCTTCAAATGAAACTCAAAATAGGATTAATTTTGTCATTCCTCAGAAATGAAGCCATTTCTAATATGCCTTCAGTGAAGGAGAAGACTTAAAAAAAACATTTTGCAAATTACAATAACTTGACAGCTGCTTGCTAAACAATGCTGCATTAATTTTCAACTTTCTGCACATGGCTGAGTGGAAGATCCCTTAATCCCAGGTCCCATTTTATTCTTGCCTCATTGTCTCTGTCCCCTCATTGTATCACTTGCAGAAATCACCAGTGGCTGAGCACTCTCTTAAACCTTACTATTGTCAGAGAAGTCATAGACTAGGTTAATGTAGATCTGCTTCCCAGAGGTATGTTAACATGGATTTAAGTTCTTTATTTTGAGTGATTGACTTTGAGAAAACTCCTTCTTTATCAGTTACTACCAGAGAAATAGAACCTTCCAAAAGTGACACTAAACTAACCATGTATTCTTGAGTTCTGCAGGCATAATAACTTTTAAAGAGATTGAGATTAATTTGGCCATTTATGAGTCGGTGTAATCAGATGACCCTGCATGTTGAGGCCAGTGAGACAGTGTGTCAGAGGTTTAAATTATTGGCTCTAAACGATCTACATTTCGGAAGCTTTTCTGAACAAATTCTCTAAGGTTTAGTTATGCTGCCGTGATAATGGTGTTGTTGTTGATGCACCTGGCTTACTGTTTCCAACAAATGGTTACCTTCATAGGAAAGGGATGAGAGAGTCTTTCCTGAAGAGGCTCTTTGCTTTTTAAAAATCCAAACTTCCTTATCTCATCATTGAAAACCTAATAACCTGCTTAGGGAAACTAAAGATATCTTTCAAATACAGAATATGAGTGGCACAAAATACAACCTAGATAAAAAAAGAGGAACGGTAATTGCAACTGAGCCAGTGTTTTAGAGAGTTAAGTGGTGTTTGATGTGCTCATTCTCATCCAATAAATAAAAGGATTGAGACAATGCATGTTTTTTGCTATACAAAGCTATTTTTACTTATTTAGGCTCTTTGACAAAATGCACATATTCATAGGCATTTCAGAAATTGCCTACAGAGCACATCAGGGATGCTGTTCCTAGGAAAGGCCACGTGGGCTGGGAAATGGGCCAAGAGAAACACTCCGATGAGCACACTCCTCCCACAAGTTAAATGGTACCTTAGGTTCTCAGGGAGGTCTTCTTGGGGTTGATAATCATCGGAACGCAAGTGACCTTAATTATTACGGTATGACATGGAGTTGAAAATACTGAAGACTGAACTATGCTCCTAATCAGGTCATAAACAGGGGTGTCTTGAATTTCCTAATCCTGTTAGGGTCACTCCTTATCAGGACTAAAAATAATAAGGAAGGGTACAAGAAAATCTTTTATCATTCATCCACATTTTCAGTGCTGTGCAAAACAAAATAAAAAAGAATAGGCCAGGCGCGGTGACTCACGCCTATAATCCCAAAACTTTGGGAGGCCAAGGCGGGCAGATCACCTCAAGTTGGGAGTTTGAGACCAGTCTGACCAACATGGAGAAACCCTGTCTCTACTGAAAATACAAAATTAGCCAGATGCGGTGGTGCATACCTGTAATCCCAGCTACTCGGGAGGCTGAGGCAGGAGAATCACTTGAACACGGGAGGCGGCAGTTGCGGTAGCTGAGATCGCACCATCACACTCGCTTGAACCCGGGAGGCCGCAGTTGCAGTAGCTTAGATCGCACCATTGCATTCCAGCCTGGGCAACAAGAGAGAAACTCCATCTAAAAAAAAAAACAAGAAGAAAAGGAAAAAGAATATCGGTCAAGAGGAACCAAATGTGAATATTATCAGAAAATATTTTTAAAAGCAGGGGCCAGGCGCAGAGGCTCACACCTGTAATCCCAGCACTTTGGGAGGCCAAGGCGGGCAGATCACGAGGTCAGGAGATCGAGACCATCCTGGCTAACACGGTGAAACCCCGTCTCTACTAAAAATACAAAAAATTAGCCAGGCGCGGTGGCGGGCGCCTGTAGTCCCAGCTACTCAGGAGGCTGAGGCAGAAGAATGGCATGAACCCAGGAGGTGGAGTTTGCAGTGAGCCGAGATCGCGCCACTGCACTCCAGCCTGAGCAACAGAGCGAGACTCCATCTCAAAACAACAAAAACAAACAAACAAACAAAATGTAGGAAGACAATTATCAGTGCACTCTTTTGCATGCATGTACCAACTGATAAAATTGTAGCTTGAAACTTGTATTTTATATTTATATTCGTATATGTATATATGCATTATGTGTATACAGTAGTTCGCCCTTGTATGTAGGGGATATGTTTTAAGACCCCTTGAAGTTACAGATAGCACCAAACCCTATATATACTATGTTATTTTCGATACTTACCTAGGATTAAGTTTAATTTATAAATTAGGCAAAGTAAGTGATTAACAACAATAACTAATAATAAAACAGAACATTTTTTAACAGTATACTGTAATAAAAGTTATATGAATATAGTCTCTTTCTCTTTCAAAATGTCTTATTGTATTGGACTCACCATTTTTGGACCACCATTGACTGTGGATAACTGAAACCACAGGTAAGGGGGGACTATTACATGTGAATATATATACACTGATATTTGGAAATTATTTCTAAATATACAGTATATAAAATCTATATTTATATAAATTTATATTTAAACTTATACGTGTATATATATATATATTTGTGTGTGTGTGTGTGTGTGTGTCTGTAATTTGAAGAGGCTTCAAAATGACAGCAAATAAGAAATAAGATGTGCTTCTGTGCATTCCCGTTCATGGCTTAGGGTTTGATCTCAACCCAGCATCAACCGTCATGCCGCAACATGAGCCTTGGTATCTCAGCCTTTGAGTCCCACAGAACCATTAGAGCCATAAGGAACAATTTGTAGTCCCAAGTGCACATTTGTGTGTTTTCTTGTGCTTTCTTGTTTCAGAATATGCCTCACTGTATCCATCTGGCCAATTCCCACTCAATTTCCACTCATCTTTCACGAACAAAATAAAATGCCAGTCATTTTAGAGAATCATCACTGACTCCTTCAGCCCATAAAGAGCTATCTGCTCAGTCCTCTCCTGGCATCTCTTTCATGCTGCTATGCCAATATGCCTCACATTTCTGCAATTATTTACTTATTTTTCTAGATGCTTCATCTCCACAGACTAGGAGATACCAAAAGGCACGAAAGCTATATCACTGGCTTTTGCTCCCAAATACCTAAAACTACATTCTAGAATACTAGAGTAGAGTCATATCCTAAAAACATTCACAATGAATGGGAAAAAAATATATTTTTTCCCTTTTAAGCATTTCATAACCACTCCTCTATTGTAAGCTCCACTTTGTTCACATTTTAGTTTAGATCGTCCTATTCAAAAGCATGAACTTTTGCAAGAAATTATATATAATGTTTTAGTGGTGATCTGTATAAATTTTTTGTCTACACAATCTCTGAGTTATCCTTCAGAAATCTTTATAGGTTCTCCATCTTTTACAATATTCAATTTAATACAGAAATAGAGCATTAAAAATAATACATCTCCTCTAGAGAACACCACAGGCTTGATTGTATTTGGAAATGCTCAGCAAACTTTTCATTTCAAATATTTCAGTCTTGCATTACATAGATGAAGTTCACTATCTGCCATATCAAAGCAGGAAGAATACTTGTCAAATCATTTTGGTAAAATTCCAAGCAAGGAAGTTTGGAGTTTATTAAAGAATGTCTTTGTAATGAAATCATTGAGGCATTTTTAAATTATGGCTTCTGACCATATGGACTATTGTTTTTAGACCTGTAAATCCATTAGTGAAAGAGAAAATAGAACACCCTTTTGAAGGGAAAAGACACGCCACAATACCTATGCAGAGACTATCCTTTTAAACTTGGATATTTCTGTGTATTTGAAGTAAACGTAGGACAGGATAAGTATATGGAGATATAGATCTCTCTATATATATCTTGACTCTTCCATCTCTAATATTTATACACAGTATTATTTGGCATTTGTTGAAAAAATTTTTAAAAATTAGAATGCCCACCTGATAAATCGAAATAGCTCAATTATATGCTCTATTAATAAGTCTCCTCTCTGGAATCCCTGATTAATCATCATCTAACATAGCAAAAACATGTTTGGTGGAAAAGAATATATTCAACAATGAAGATGTTGAGTTAATTTAAAGAATCCTATTCTCACTAAAAAGGTTTTCCGTATTTAGTTGAAATCTTTTAATTTGGCTAAAATCACCTGACATTTCCTCTATTTCTTACCTGTTTCTATTCCACCCGAATTTTTTTGTTTAATATCAAGTAAATGTTGTGCTTCAGCCCACAGTGAAGGCTGGAGTCTTGGGTTCCTTTGGTTTCATGCTGCAACGACAGGAAGTGATATTTGAGGTGACATCATTTGCTCCAGAAAAATTTGTAAATATTTAAACAGTTAAGTTTGTTTGAAACTCTATTTTTAAAAATATATAGTCACTGTGCATACCCAGGTTGAGAAGTATTTCATCTTCTGGCTGTTGTGCAAAGAGGATAATTCTTTCAAATTCACTTTTTTTTTTTTTTTTTGGAGATAAAGTCTCACTCTCACCCAGGTTGGAGTGGTGTGGCGCAATCTCGGCTCACTGAAACGGCCACCTCCCAGGTTCAAGTGATTCTCCTGCCTCAGATTCTCAAGTAGCTGGAATTACAAGTGCCCACCACCACGCCTGGCTAATTTTTTTGTATTTTTAGTAGAGATGGGGTTTCACCATGTTGGACAGGCTAGTCTCGAACCCCTTACCTCAGATGATCCACCTATCTGGGCCTCCCAAAGTGCTGGGATTACAGGCATGAGCCACCGTGCCCGGCCTAATACTAAGAGATTGGGAAGATAATACTCCCGTGTACTTTCTAACTCAGTATCCGTATATCACTAGCATGGAGCTGTGGGAAAAAAATGAGAACCTTAAATTCAGACAGAGTTGGACTTGAATTTCAGACTTAATGCATAGAGACAGAAGTGTGAGCTAAGTTTTTGTTTTTACTTTCCTACACCTTACATTTCTCTTCTATAACATAATAACATGATGATGTATTAACATGATAATGTACGTGAAATAGCCAGTTAATTGATGTTCCATAAACATTGAATCCTTTATTCCAGGCTTTGTTACAATTTTTATTATTTGTTGTACTTATAATTTCATCCATTCATTCTTTCACACTTTTATCCATTCATCTAATCAACTCACAATTCTCCCATTTTCCATCCTTCAATCCACAAACACATTGGCCACTTTTTATGTTACAAATAACTTTGTTAAGTGGTGAGGATATAGGGATGAGTAATGATTCCTGACCACAAGCAGATCTCAGCCAAGTGGAGATGACCTCTATATAATCACAAATAAGAAACAACTTGTGTTATGAAAGAGAAATAAATAAAGTACTACTGAGTACAAAGGAGAGGGGTTCTCAAAAGGAAAGGATTTCCAAGTATGGGAGGCACATTTGATGCATTTAAGTCTGTACTTTGTGGTCCATGACCCGTGCTAAGCACTTTATCCGGGGCATATTGTTGGCAGTTCTCCCAACAATAATTGCTATTATAGAGTTAGACTCATTTTAGAAATAAATGGCGTGAAGCTTAAGTAAGTTAAATCACATGGCCAAATTCAAGTCATAAGTAGCCGATCTTGAATTTGACCCCATACTAGTTCTTGTAACTATTATGTTAGGTTGCCTTCATGGAAAGGACAGATGTTAAAAGCATCATGGTATAAAAGTGAGAAAGAGCAGACTTGTGTTGTCCAGTTTTACATTTATATTGCCCAGAATAAATTGAAAAAATAACCTGGATAAATGATTAATGACAGCCTCTTCCCACCAGAAAAACACCTAAGTTCCTGAGAGCAGTGATTAAACAGCTGAATAGCAGATAAAAAGAGACAGACCCAGGGATCTTAGCACCAGAGAAGCCACAATGTATTTGCGTATATAGTTGGCCCTTTTGCTAATAATGGGTATGCTTTGACTATACTCTGAGAATACTCTAATCATATTTTATTGAAAAAAAATAAGTTCAAATTGCAATGCTTTTTGCTGTTGTTTTTGTCGGTGGTGTCTTGGGCAAAGGCAATCATTTCTGTAGAGTGCAATGAGAAAGAACAATGTGTTCAACATTATTTCAGCTAGCATCACTCTGAGCCTTTTTCCCAGATGAAAACAATTGATTTCAGTATTTTTTCTCTATGTCTTTGGTTTAAATTAAAAGTTATCCTTTGACCTTCCTTCCTTATTTTCTTTCTTTCTCTGTCTATACTTCCCTTTCTTTTTCCCTTCTTTTCTTTTCTCCTTCCTTTGTAATTCTTTCAACAGCCATTAGATGAGACTCAAGTAGGCAACTACATAGGAAGGCCAGAACCTGATGGGGGAGTATGGGGTACCCACAAGGAGGGGAGTAGGGCACAAGCATTTGGGGAAAAGAGACAGAGTGGCAGCAATGGCTTGTCACAGGAAGTCAAGGAGAAAGAGTTTGTGTAGGGAGGTTGTGGGTGACAGCGGAAGCCCAGTGCAGGATGTTGGAGCTCAGGCACTGCAAAGAAGCCTCACAGACATCACCTTAATCAAGTAATCAATGTTATTATACTCAAAATTGGGACAAATTGAAATTGCACATCACCTGCTAAGAGGCAATGAGACGAACACAGCAATGTCTCTGTCATATTCCTGCCCAAAATGCTGTGTAACATGAATCTAATCATGAGAAAATATAAGATAAACCCAAATTAAGGGAGATTCTATGAAATAACTGACCTATGTCTTCAAAAGTGGCAAGGTCATGAAAGTCAAGCCAAACATTGACAATTCTGCAGATTGAGAGACACTAAATAGACATGGCAACTAAATGCAATGTGAGATTCTGAACTGGATTCTTTTACTGCGAAGACATAGTCTTGGGTAAGAAAAAAGGCATTAATTTCAATTTTCTGATTTTGATGGTTGTGTTGAGGTAATATAAGAGAAAATCTTGGTGGTAGGTATTACACACAGAAGTTTCAGGGGTTGTAGTACAATCACATTAACCACTTCCTCTCAAACAGTTTTTTAAAAATTGTATTGATGTTACAACTTCTTAGTAACTTTTAAATTGCTCCAAAAAATAAAAAAAAAACTTTAAGCTGGCATTAAGAGGAGGATTAACTGTCCAATCTCTAAAGAGCCATATAACCTTGAGTTTAAATTCAAGTTTGAGTTTGAACTTGAATTCAAATTCAAGTTTATCCCTTAAAAGCTATATGATATGGACAAGTTATTTAACTTACATACATTTGCACAATGGGGATAACCTTAAGTTTCATGCAAAGATTAAAATAATTCATAGGTTTTCTGTGAGGATTAAGATTTTTAGTGCCTGAACCGTGATTGGAAGAGTGCTTGACACATAGAAGCACTACATCCATCAGTGTAGCTGTATTATCAACATTCTTAGTATCATCATTATTTTATTGAATGGTTCAATTCCAAGAACTGTAATAAACAAACTGAAATTTGCAATCACAGAAATCTGGGATCAAATGATTACTTAATAGCCAGGTGGCCCAAAGTTCCTTAACTGTGAAATTTCTTTGTTTTCCATCAAATTCTATGACCTTCCCATGACCTGAAATTCATTTTTGCTTACTAAGTTCAGTCTACACCGGCTTTCTTTCAGTTCCTCAAAAACATCAAGTAGTTTCCACATCCAAAGAATCACACAGTCTTTTGCCTCTTCCAGGATCACACCTTTGCCCTTACTGGCCTGAACGACTACTACTTCAGAGCCCTACTAGAAAGTGAAACTCCCATAGTCCCTGATCATTAAGCTATTCTCTTTCATAGGTTTCTATATTTTATATAAGTTACTGAAATTTGCATTTTTATTGTTTGTATCTTACCCAAAACAAAACCTTTTTGAACTCAGGGTTCAGGTCTGTCGATTTTGTTATATTCCCCATTGTGTACCTAAGATATAGCACAGGGTGCAGCATATAGAATGTTTTCTACAAGTAATTGTAGGATGAGGCAATACATGAATAAGCCAACCACAGTACCAGGCACTTGAGACTCATTATACCAACTCTTTTTTTTTTTTGAGACAGAGTCTTGCTCTGTCACCCAAGCTGGAGTGCAGTGGCGCGATCTCGGCTCACTGCAAGCTTCGCCTCCCGGGGTTCACGCCATTCTCCTGCCTCAGCCTCCTGAGTAGCTGGGACTACAGGCGCCCGCCACCGTGCCCGGCTAATTTTTTGTATTTTTAGTAGAGACGGGGTTTCACTGTGTTAGCCAGGATTGTCTCGATCTCCTGACCTTGTGATCCGCCCGCCTCGGCCTCCCAAAGTATATCAACTCTTTAAAGCAACCCACAATGATGATACAAAATAGGTACTAATATCACTGTTACCATAAACATAATCTTGCTCCTTACCCTAGGCAAAAATAAAAAGTGTCAGTAGATCTTGACACTTCCCTAAGAAAAACTAATTATTTTCGTGTATTAAACATCAAGGCAAGAGAGTAAAGGAGACTCACCCTAATTATGTAAGGAGACAATGTTGGATGCAAATTTTCAGTTTCCACTAAAAAATGAATGATTACTTGGGAAGAAAATAATTGCTTTGGCACTAAATGCAGCTGTTATTTATGTCACATTATTTATAAGACTGATGTGCATAATATTCCTCCAGTCTTACTATAAATTAAAACAATTCAGGAGCATATTATATACAGACACTTATGAGAAGATGTGTTTACAATTGTTATTGCTGACTCCAATAAGAACAGAATTTTTCTCAGTGATAAAGGCATTTCATGGGAAATAAAGAAACAAATAACCTCATCATTGTACATTGGAATGATGGCAAACCAATCGCAAGTTATGTGACATGAAAATGTCCTAATGATTTTAAGTTACTGAGACTTAGTCACATGATTTTAGAAGAGGGTAGTGTATAAAGAATTATAAATCAACATCACAACCAGAAAGCATGGTCCATACTCCAGCATCTTGTATGTTTGCTCTAAAACATGGGGCAGATTATTCACTAAAATAAGCCTCAGCTTCCTCATCAATCAAATGGGGACAATAATAACACTTATTTCATGCCCTTTCCTCAAAGTTCATATGCTAAAACCAAATCCCCAACGTGATAGTATTAGAAAGTAGAGCCTTAAGGAGGAAATTAGATCTTGAGGGCTCTGCCCTCATGAGTTGAATTTGTCCCCTTATAAAAGAGACTCCAGGCCGGGCGCGGTGGCTCTCGCCTGTAGTCCCAGCACTTTGGGAGGCCGAGGCAGGCAGATCACAAGGTCAGGAGATCAAGATCATCCTGGGTAACATGGTGAAACCCTGTCTCTACTAAAAATACACAAATTAGCTGGGTGTGGTGGTGTGTGCCTGTAATCCCAGCTACTCAGGAGGCTGAGGCACGAGAATCACTTGAACCTGGGAGGCAGAGGGTGCCGTGAGCTGAGATCACCCCACTGCACTCCAGCCTATAATCCCAGCACTTTGGGAGGCCAAAGTGGGCAGATCACGAGGTTAGGAGATTCAGACCATCCTGGCCAACATGGTGAAACCCTGTCTCTACTAAAAATACACAAATTAGCTGGGTGTGGTGGTGCATGCCTGTAATCCCAGCTACTCGGGAGGCTGAGGCACGAGAATCGCTTGAACCTGGGAGGCAGAGGGTGCAGTGAGCTGAGAGCATGCCACTGCATTCCAGCCTGGTGAAAGAGCGAGACTCTGTCTCAAAAAAAAAAAAAAAAAAAAAAAGAGACTCCAGCCAGGCGCAGTGGCATGGCTCATATCTGTAATCTCAGGTCTCAGGGAGGCAGAGTGGGGAGGATGGCTTGAGTCCAGGAGTTTGAGACCTGCCTGGGCAATATAGTGAGACCCTGTTTAAAAAAAAAAAAAGAGAGAGACTCCATAGAGTGAGCTAGCCCCTTCCACCTTATAAGGACACATCCAGAAGGTGCTAGCTATGAACCAGGGAGCAAGCAAGCCCTTACCAGAAACCGAATCTGCCAACACCTTGATATTGAGCTTCCCATTCTCCAGAATTGTGAGCAATACATGTCTGTCATTTATAAGCCACCCAGTAAATGGTATTATGTTATGACAGCCTGAATGAATTAAGACACCCTGTAAATTATTTTAGGGGTTAAATGAGATAACGTATGTAGCATAGTTCAATTATGGCCACATGGAACACATTTAACAAATGATGATAAAGAAAACATGTAATTTTGTTTTGTATAAAACCATTTAATCTCGTATGAATGAGTGTAAAGGTCTAGTTGTTAACAATGGCTTAATAACTGGATTAAAAGCACCAGCCTATGTTTTAGTATTAAGGAGGGGGACAGAATATGGTATTACTTGATGACAATGATACAGCACATCACGAAAATGAAAGTACCATGATAACACTAAGGACACTACCTCAGTTCCACCTGGTCATGGATGAGCTCTTCCAGGCAGGGATTAAAGCAGAAGCTTAAACTTTTAACTTGCCACGGCTCTGTTTCAGGCACTTGATATGAGTGTGTCTGAAGTTGGTTCCTTCCAGTGGGTTCTTGGTCTCGCTGACTTCAAGAATGAAGCCACAGACCTTCACGGTGAGTGTTACAGCTCTTAAAGGTGGCACAGACCCAAAGAGTGAGCAGCAGCAAGATTATCGTGAAGAGCGAAAGAACAAAGCCTCCACAGCATGGAAGGGGACCCAAGCTAGTTGCTGCTGCTGGCTAGAGGGGTGGCCAGCTTTTATTCCCTTATTTGACCCCACCCACATCCTGCTGATTGGTCCATTTTACAGAGTGCTGATTGGTCCATTTTATAGAGTGCTGATTGGTCCATTTTGCAGATTGCTGATTGGTTCATTTACAATCCTTTAGCTATACAAGGAGTTCTGATTGGTGTGTTTTGACAGAGTGCTGATTGGTGCATTTACAATCTTTTAGCTAGACACAGAGTGCTGATTGGTGCGTTTTGACAGAGTGCTGATTGGTGCATTTACAATCCTTTAGCTAGACACAGAAAAGTTCTCCAAGTCCTCACTTGACCCAGGAAATCCAGCTGACTTCACCTCTCACGAGGATGGAGTTGAATGGTACCGAGTGACCTTGTATATAAGATTCCATCACTAGGACCATTTTAATAATGAGGCAGTTCCCTCATTACTAAACTGACACTTAGAGCAGTTTAGTAGCTTATCTAAAAACTTAGAGCCAGGCCAATGATGAATCTAAGCCAGGGACATAAGTAAATACTCAGTGGCTTCCTTCTGTGATAAAGCCAAGAGGAAAACTTGATTCCTATTTCTCTTCTGGTAGTAGCCAGTGATGCGGGCAGAGAATATCAGCTATTGAGTTCAATACTGTGCATGCATTAAAAAAAAAAAAAAGGCCCCTGAGTGAAAGTCTTTCCTGGGTGTCCTATAATGCAGAGAGCCAAAATGATCCTGAAGAAGTGTCTGTCCCCATGCCTCATCCATAGCATCTGCCAGGCCTCACTGAACCAGCAGAATCTAGACCTCAGTCTTTCTGCTGTGCTCACATCATTGTCACTCCTGCCTCAGGCCCCTTTAGAAGGTACACTGACTCTGTTTTATTTCCAAAGGAGTTCATTCTCTTTTTTAATGAGGGAAATTTCTTGGAGTAAGGACTATAATAACAGCAGTTGCTGCTGCCACTGCTGCTACTGAGTATTGAGTATCTATGTGTCAGGCACTAAGCTAGCTGCTTTAGATACATTATCTCTCACCATTAAAACAACTCTGGAAATGGAAATTATTATTCACATTGCACAGAGGTAAAGTACATTGTCCAATGTCACAGAGCTATGAGAACAAGACTGCAGTGTTAACTCAGGCTTGCCTGACTGCAACCCTATGCTCATCCAACTATACCACAATATAGACAGGTTTATAATTATCCAAGTACTTCCTATGTTCATTATGCTTAGGGCAATTAAAAGCTAATAAATTGGCAAGTCACAGTTAATCATTATTCTGTTAATCTAACGGCATCTTAGATTTATATTGCGCAATATAACTTACACATGTTTTTTATGTGATTGACTTCACTGGTTCTCATACCAAGCTTGTATTTCTCACATGTAGCTTCACCTCTCACCCCACTTACAGGATCATCTATATGTATGTTCAGATATTGAGAGCTGAACTTATTTCTGTTTATTCTTTTTCTTGTATCAGTACACTGGTTGTTGGAAAGAACACCTTAGTCAACCTAACTATGCTTGAAATAAAGAAGAAAAGCCTTGTTTTTTTTGGATATTAATCCCTTATCAGATGGATAATTTCGAAATATTTCCTCCCAATCTGTACGTTGTCTCCACATACTGTGCTGGAGCTTGTGACATGAAGCTTTCCCCATATGTATTTTTCTGGCAATTTTCCAATTTCATTTATTATATTTAAATCTTTATTCACTTTGCATTTTTATATAGTATGAGTGTCTAATTTCATTCTTCTGCATGTAAATATTCAGTTTTTCTAATACCATTTAATGTAGAGAATGTCTTCCCCATTGTGGGTTCATGCCGCCTCTGTCAAAAATTAGTTGATCATTAATGCATGGATTTATTTCTGGGTTTTTTATTAACCTATACCCTTGGTTGATATGTCTGTTTTAATGCCAGTACCATGCTGTTTGATTATAAGTGCTCTATGTTTTGAAATCAAGGAGTGTGATGCCTCCAACTATGGTGACCTCCCAAAGTGCTGGGATTACAGGTGTAAGCCATCATGCCCAGCCAGGGTACAACATTTAAGATAGATAGGAGAAATAGGTTTTGAGATCTATTACACAGCAGGGTGACTATAGTCAATAACATTGTATTATATATGTCAAAATAACCAAGAGAGTAAATTTCATATGTCTCATTGTAAACAATGATAGATTTACTCCATCAAAATAAAAGAAGAAAAGCCGATTACATATTCTTTCTTTCCTTTGTTAAGTCACCCTTTCCCACTGCAGAATATAAATTCAGATCCCTTTATACTCTAATTGAAACCTCTGAGCTCACATGGCAGCTTTGCTCACTCAAGAGGATTATGTGCCAATTTTGGGGGAACTGGCTTGCCCAGCTTCAACTAACAGATGTTAAGTTAAGGCTTTTTACCAGCCAATCCAACTTTCATGTTATCCCTCTAAGGCAAAAAGCAACAAAAACAAAAATTTACCTTTTCCTCTAACCAGATAATGGGCGAAAACATTTTTATATGCATTAGATGAAACTTGACCATATGATTTCAGTTCCAGCCTCAACACTGAGTTCTACTACAGGGGAGACATCAGCTTGCATGGAGAGGGGGCAAAACAGGATGTGAGGAAAGAAGAAAGGAGAGCAATGGCAGCCTAGGTGAAGAGGTGGCTCAGGGAGAAAAATGACTTCAGAGGCCATGGAGGTGTTCACTTACATTACTCAGAAATCTGTAAATTAAAAATAAATAAACAGTCTGGGCGTGGTGGCTCACGCCTGTAATCCCAGCACTTTGAGAGGCTGAGACGGGCAGATCACCTGAGGTCAGGAGTTCGAGACCAGCTCGGCCAACATGGTGAAACCCCATCTTTACTAAAATTACCAAAACTTAGCTGGGCGTGGTGGCGGGCGCCTGTAGACCCAGCTACTGGAGAGGCTGAGACAGGAGAATCGCTTGAACCCTGGAGGCGGAGGTTGCAGTGAGCTGAGATCGCGCCATTGCACTCCAACCTGGGCAACAAGAATGAAACTCCATCTCAATTAATAAATAAATACATAAACAAACAATAAGTAACATATAATGCCCATGTCTATATGGTTCAAACGTATATGGTTCAAATGATCTGCTTTTACCTTTCACCATTCTTAATTTTTGAATGATGGATTAATGAATGAAAATTTTTGGAATTGCTTAGTAATAAGAATAAAATTGTCACCCATTATCTGGATTTTTAATGCTATTGAGATGCTAATGAGCAGTGTTCATAAAAGCCTCACCTTAGTATAATGAGAGATTAGTAAACTAGATTGCATTGCCCCTTGAAATCAGGCATTTGAATCATCTCTTTCTACAGTGCGGTTCTCTCCAAATGACACATTCTATAGCAGGTCAATAACTCATTTCTGCCTCCCTGAAGGTTTCTCTTCCTATCTCTGAACCCAAAATGCATTACTCATATATATTAACATTTTGTTAGTGTGGGATCTTAGGCCAATTTGAATGGTTGAGATTGGGACGTGATTTGACTTGAAAAGAGTAATGAAGTTATTATTGTGAGTCCAAGGATGGAAATGAGTTTTGGAGAAGAAAACATCTCAAACGGTGCATAAAATAAGTGACAATTGTTAGCTTCTTTAATTACAGTCTGAATAAGGAAAATCACAATGGAGATATTAAGCTCATTTTTACAGCCTTAAAATTGGATACTGACCCTTCAAACTCATTTTTTTCCTTTCCTCCGTGTCCTCAAGAATAGGCTTTTAAAATCAAAGACTGCCTAGCACATATTATCTATTATTATTAACACCTTTACATGCATAATTTCATAAAATATTCACAAAATCCCAGCTGAATAATTATTATGATTATTCTCCACAAACGTATTATCTTATTACTTTACTTTCCTACAAATTGCAGACGTGGGATATGAACTCAGAGCTGTTGAAATCCAGAGTCGGGCATCTTAGCCTCTAGGTGCACTGCTTAAAATTAACATGGTATGGGGGAGAATAGGGTAAGGCAGAAATCGCTCTGTCCCTTGCGTTGTAAAGCTCTTCCTTACTGTTTAAAGAATAATTTTTGAGTTAAGCATTTTTTCCAGCTTAATGATGGCACACATCATTAGCCTCAAATAGGTAGACTTAAACTATTTTTACATGTTTTTTTGGCAAAATAAGATGCTGTATTAGACACCTTCAAGGCTATATTTGTGAAGAGCGCACATTTGATATCTCTAAATGCATGTGTATTGATGGACTGCTTGACTACTTAATGTTTTAAGGTAATTAAACCACAAAAACTCATTGGAGTAATGTTTAGGGCTGACTTAAACCCTTAAAAGCCATTAGCTGTTAACTGCCAAGTTTCTCTGAGTCTCTGTCTGCATGAAATTGAATCATATTTGAAAGGTTTTGGAGGCTAGTGGCAAGATTCATAAAAGCCCAACAGCTTTACATCTTTCATCACAAATCAGGAAATGGGAGGGAGGGCAAAGAACTGGATTTGAGAGGGAAAACTGCACTTGATGTTTCATCCACTGTTTCTTAGAATCTTTTACTAATTAACCCCACTTGCGCCTTCCTATGGTGAAATTGCATCTATTAATTTACCATTTGTTTAATTCAATTCAAGACAGAGTATTTTTGCTGTCTTGATATACCGGTATCGGTATATCTACAGATACTGATACGTGGAACAGAGGATGAATAAGGCACTGGCCCTGTCCTCAGCAGCTTTAGATTTAAGAGAGACAGTCAGATAAACAACTGTGGAAAGCACACAAATAGAGGAATGTGCAAAGTGAACAGGAAAGGATTGTGAGTGGCATCAAGGAAGACTTCCTGGAAGAGTTTATGATGGAGCTGAGTTTGGAAAGTTAATAGGAGTTTCCCAGCAGCAGACAGTGGCACAACATTTAAGACTAAAAAAATCAAAAGCACACAGGAAAAAGGTAATGGTGATTTTCCACTCAAATTAAGAATATTTCACACACACACACGCATGTGTGTGCGCACGCATGCACACACACACACACACGTTTCTGACTTTTAAATACCTTTTATTCTGCTAAAGATTATATGAGCACCTGCTGGCCCTGCTCACAGATAATCCTACCCATGGCTGAAAATGTTTTTGTCACTGAAGACTCTGCATGGTCACAACCTGTTCCTGTAATCCTTACTAATGTCCTCCACCAGGGCTGCTGATGCACACACCTCTCCACCGTATCTTTCCTATCCATGTCTGCAAAGCTCTCTCCCAACATGGACACTCCTGCAGCCCCTCGCTCTGATTACTCTGTACCTAATTGGAGTCCAGCCTTCAGATGGGTCAGAAGAACCTCAGAATTTTGAGATATCTGTGTGTGTGTGTGTGTGTGTGTGTGTGTGTGTATATATACACACACACATATATATACACACACATATATATACACACATATATATACACACATATATAGATACAGATATATAATGAAGCTAACTTATATTTAAAAGATTCTATACTATTCAGCTATAAATAAAATAGAGCAACATTGGCAAAGAACATAAATACCATTCATGGTGCTGCTTTGATGGGAAACCATATTGACGGCAATCGGTATATGGTGAGAATCTATGTATTTAAGGAACTGAGGTGGTAGACAATATATACATCTGCACATCAGGACTGAAATACAGGTTGCAGAACATTGTTTCCTGTTTATCTCAAAGACTTAGTGGTGTTTCTTCACTTGTAAAGTAGAGATATTAATGTTTACTTTTCGAGGTTGCTATGTGGGTTCATAGAGAAATGGATAGAAAGTGCCTATAATATAGGTAATGCTTGTAAGAGCTACACAGTATTTCTTTTTTTAGTAAATGCTCTGGGTAATTAGAAAATGATTCAATGACTTCCTTTTGTCTACAGAAAAAATGGCCAAAATTTATTACACAATTCTAAACTTCTACTTAATATGTTCTAATTTGACTACATATTTCTTCCCAAAATATATATTACATCCCAGCAAAAGTGGAATGAGCCAACCTTTCCTGAAAAGGATATTGCACTTTCTCTCATTCTGTCACCCAAATGTCTGTTAAGAAGTATTGAAGAAGCTGGACACGGTGGGTCACAGCTGCAATTCCAGCACTTTGGGAGGCTGAGACTGGAGGATCACTTAAACCCAGGAGTTCGAGACCAGCCTGGGCAACATGGCAAAATCCTGTATCTAGTGTCTACCAAAAAAGTATAAAAATTAGCTGGGTATGGTGGCATGCACCTGTAGTTCCAGCTACTTGGGAGGCTGAGGTAGGAGGATCACTTGAGTCTGGGAGGCACAGAGGTTGCAGTTAGCCAAGATTGTGCCACTGCACCACTGCACTCCAGACTGAGCAACAGAGCCAGACCTTGGGGAAAAAAAAAAAAGAAAGCATTGAAGAGAAGCAGCAGCAGCTTTGGATAAGTTGTTTTTGCCATTTGTGCTTTTGCACTGTTGCACTTAATCAAAAAGTTAGTTGGAGTTTCTTTTCTTGTTGATTTGTTCTATTACAAACTTTCATCCTTCCACCAACAGTCTATGGCAAGAGACTGTCTTGTTTTACTAAGTTCCTCAAGTCCTAAAGGAAATAAATAAATTCTGTAAGAATTTGAATTACTTTTATTTTCTGAGTATAGTTTAAAATATGTTCCAAGAATATACCTGGAGCTCTTAAGATTCAACATGTCCACTTTGGTAGCCCAACCCCAGAGCCACCAATGACATTTTATATTTTATGAGATTGGTGCCCACATAAAGTACAGCTCCAGCCTAGCTATCTATAGTAGCAAAGCACCCTTTAACTCGTACTATGCAATCTTCTTTATTGCCTGCAGAGTCCTCACCATAATAGACAATTATTAAATTGATACATTGGTTTATTTACCATCTATTTCCCATCCTAGAATATAAGTTCCTTGAAATTCTTGTTAATATTGTCTAACATTTGAATTCTTACTATGTTTCTGTCTCATGATTGGAAGAATAGATATATAAATAATTGGTGAATAAGGATTAAATGGGATTACACACTTCAAATGGTTTTTAAACTCCAGAATGCCATGAAATATCAGACCCTTGTTGGCAATACCCCAACTGTACAATGGCTCCCAAACATTACGTGTAACACCACTCCTATCATCACTATCCTGTAGCCACCATCTATTGAATACTTATTATGTGCTTAATATTTTATAGACAAGACCTCATTAATACCCATAAAATATGTATGATAATACTGTTATTATTTCCTCTCCTCCTTCCATTTTACAGATAGGAAAACTGAGGTCCATAAAATCTAAGTGCTATTAAAGGGAGAGTAGTAGGAAATGGGTCTGGAGATAGGAAATGATCAAATTCTAATTGGAATGTTATACATTTTTCTCCATATAAGAGTTCTGGTTCTGTCTTCAGCCAATAGAACACTGAAAGTTTCCAATTTATATATTTTTATAGAATCCCCAAACTCACGTGAAAGAAAGAGATCAAAAGAATGCATACATGCACACACACATTCATATTTTGCTTTTATATGTGTAAGAAAATAGTAGATACACACAAAACCAATACCATTTGACTCTGCAGTAGGATTTAGGGCTCTAAGGCGGAAGGGATCTACTTTTTATAAGATAACTTTTGTTACTTTTCAATTTTTTTCTCATATGCATGCATTATTTTTTGAGATAAATAAAACAGAACAACAAAACAAAATGAAATATAAAGGAAAGGAAAACCAAGGAACTGAACCAGATCAGTGGCAGTGAGATAGAGAAGCAGGGACAGATTCAAGACTTCCACTGGAAAACATGGTTCAATGCCTTTAACATATTAAGAGTTATAAAATTTAAAATAAAGATTGCATAGTCCAATATGATTAAAAATGAAATAAGTAAGTAAAGGTAAAGTCCTCTCAATGTCATAGTTTTTTGCATAATTGAAATCCCTGATATGTGTATATTTTATTCTCTAAACTTATTGATCAAGGGATCCTTTTTTACATGGAGCAGTTCATATATGTAATGTTCTGGACAAAACACTTTGTCATGTGATCATCTAGAGTAGGACTCAGCAACTACAACTTGTCAAGCAAATCCAGCTTACCGCCTATTTTTTTTTATAACATCTTGTAGAATACAATTATTCTCAATGGTCTACATATCATCTGTGTATATATACATATACACTTAGGAATACAGCTAACTAGGGAGGAGAATAATCTCTACAATGAGAATTACAAAACACTCCTCAAAGAAATCAGAGATGACACAAACAAATGAAAAAATATCCCATGTTTACAGATAGGAAGAATCAATTCATTAAAATGTCCATACTGCCCAAAGCAATTTGCAGATTCAGTGCTATTCTTATCAAATGACCAATGATATTCTTTACAAAAATAAAATAAACAAACAAACAACGAAAAAGAAAAGCTATTTTAAAATTCATATAAAACCAAAACCAAAACCAAAAAATAGCCCAAATAACCAAGGCAATCCTAAGCAAAAAGAACATAGCTGAAGGCATCATGCTACCCAACTTCAAACTATACTATGGGGCTACAGTAACTAAAACAGCTTTGTACTGACAGAAAAACAGACACATAGACAAATGGAACAGAATAGAGAGCCCAGAAATAAGCCCACACGCCTACAACAATCTAATCTTTTAGAAACTTGACAAAAATAACCAATGAAGAAAGGACTCCCTAGTCAATAAATAGTTATAGGATAACTGGCCAGCCATATGCAGAAGATTAAAACTGGACCCCTTCTTTAAGCGTATACAAAAATCAACTCAAGGGGCTGGGAGTGGTGGCTCACGCCTCTAATCCCAGCACTTTGGGAGGCCGAGGCAGGTGGATCACAACATCAGGAGTTCGAGACCAGCCTGACCAATATGGTGAAACCCTGTCTCTACTAAAAATACAAAAATTAGCTGGGTCCGGTGGCTCGCGCCTGTAATCCCAGCTACTCGGGAAGCTGAGGCAGAAGAATTGCTTGATCCCGGGAGGTGGAGGTTGCAGTGAGCCAAGATCGTGCCACTGCACTCCAGCTTCATGACAGAGCGAGACTACATCTCAAAAAAAAAAAAAAAAAAAAAATTCAACTCAAGGCTGGGTGCAATGGTTCACTCCTGTAATCCCAGCACTTTGGGAGGCTGAGGTGGGTGGATCACCTAAGGTCAGGAGTTCGAGACCAGACTGACCAAAATGGTGAAACACAGTCTCTACTAAAAATACAAAAAATTAGCTGGACATGGTGGCAGGCACCTGTAATCCCAGCTACTGGGGAAGCTGAGACAGGAGAATCGCTTTAACCCAGGAGGTGGGAGTTGCAGTGAGCCAAGATCGCACCATTGCTCTCCAGCCTAAGCAATAAAAGCAAAACTTCATCTCAAAAAGAGCAAAAACAAACAAACAAAAACCAAAAATCAACTCAGGATGAATTAAAGACTTAACTGTAAAACACAAAAATATAAAAACCCTGGAAGACAACCTAGGCAATACCATTCTGGACATAGGCATGGGCAAAGACTTCATGACTAAGATGCCAAAAGCAATTAAGACAAAAGCAAAAATTGACAAATGGGATCTAATTAAAGAGTCTCTGCACAGCAGAAGAAACTATAACCAAAGTAGACAGACAACATACACAATAGGAGAATATTTTTGCAAACTATACATCTGACAACTGTCTACTATCTAGCATCTATAATGAACTTTAACAAATTTCTGAGGAAAAAACAAACAACCCCATTAAAAAGTGGGCAAAGGACATGAACAGACACTTTTCAAAAGAAGACATACTTGTAGCCAAAAAGCATATGAAAAAACTCAATGTCACTGATCATTAGAGAAATGCAAATCAAAACCACAATGCAATACCATCTAACACCAGTCAGAATGGCTATTATTAAACAGTCAAAAAAATAACAGGTGCTAGCAAGTTTGTGGAGAAAAAGGAATGCTTATACGCTGTTGGTGGGAGTGTAAATAGTTCAACCATTGTGGAAAGCAGTGTGGCGTTTCCTCAAAGACCTAAAAACAGAACTACCATTCGACCCAGCAATCCCATTACTGGGTATATATCCAAAGGAATATAAATCACTCTATCATAAAGACACACAGACACATATGTTCATTGCAACATTATTCATAATAGCAAAGACATGAAATCAACCTAAATATCCATCAATGGTAGACTGTATAAAGAAAACGTGGTACATAGACACCATGGAATACTATGCAGACATAAAAATGAATACAATCATATCTTTTGCAGAAACATAGACAGAGCTGGAGGCCATTATCCTTAGCAAATTAATGCAGGAAAAGAAAAGTAAATCCCTCATGTTCTCACTTACAAGTGGCAGGTAAATGATGAGAACACATGGACACATAGAGGGGAACAAAAGACACTGGGGTCTACCTGAGACTGGAGGGTGGAAGGAAAGAGAGGATCAGGAAAAATAACTAATAGGTACTAGGCTTCATACCTGGGTGATGAAATAATCTGTATGACAAACCCCTGTAACATGAGTTTACCTACGTAACAAAGCTGCACATGTACCCCTGAACTTAAATGTTTTTTTAAAAAGATACAAAAAAGAGAGAAGTATGCTTATATTTTAGAGTAATGAATGGCTTAAGCGTTTTTCTAGCCATAAAATCAGAAAAATGTTAGCTGGATTGGAGGGCGGAGAAAGTCCAGGTTTTCAGCAAAAATAATTGACTGGAAGAAAGCATGGGGGCACGAAAGAAGACTTTGTCCAGAAAATGTGACTGTAGTGGAAGACGATCAGAAGACAAGCAAGCAAATAAGAAGATGTGACACACATAAGATAAAGAGTGAAGAAACATTTGAAGTTACAGGGGATCGGAGGCTGTAAAGGTTTGGGGAGGACATGATAATTTGAAACCATGATAGTAACCAAAGTTAAGGATATCAGGACTATTGCCAGACTCTCTTCAAAAAGAAAATAATTTTTTTTCAATGAATAAATGACCACTAAGTCTTAAAAATATCCAACTGGAAATGCAAATACGTAAGAACATGGGAGTCTTCCCTTTCTAATCTATGTTACTTTGTTGATAAAATATGTTGATGAGATCATAGAATTAGAATGCAACTGATATCAGGAAGGAAAGAGATTTTCCAAACGAAGAATCTGTTTAATAATGAGTCGAAATATATGAACACAATTAAACCTCTGGATTTCTGAAAGGATGTGCACACACACACATACATCACATTTTTTTTTTGAGAGCAAGATACAGAGAGACAAGAGAAATATAGTTACCGTGGTGTATAGAAGAAATACTTAGGCAGAGAAGAACGTTCTGTTTAAAATTAAAATCTTCTCCCTAAATGCAATTTAGTGAGTCCAGCTCTCCCCACTGTGAAGGGGAAGATTTAGTGTACCTTACAAATGGGTTTAAAAATGAAAATGACAGAATCTTGGCCAACCACATTTGGTTTTATCAAATTTTAAAATGTTGGCGGTAATTGCTAAAATCTAAGTGCAGCCTGCCAAATCAGACCGAGTTGGTGCAGAGTACTAAATATTTCAGCCCTCACTTTGGGGTTGAGGAACAGTACAAATTCCTTGAAATAACTTGTCTTTCATCTCTAAGGATGGCTAATATTTTTGCAACTGATTTTTTCTAACTAAAGTGATAGCTAACCTGATCACAAATAGAGCTCAGGCAGGTAACACCAACTGGATGGCAGGCACGGTTTTATTTCTGGACCTGACTTCCATGGACACTAATGATGCATCTGCTTTCTTCCTGATTTCATTTGAATGGAACCCAAATTTGTACAATTCTGCAAATGTGAGGAAAATGCTTAAAATTTAAGTGACTTTAATAAAATTTGAACGTGCATCTCACAGCTAGGATGGATTTAAGGAAACCTGTTATTGACAAACTTTTTCTAAGCAAAATTTCATTGCATTTCAGTTGAGGACACCTCAAAACCTGGAATGACTATCTCTTCAGTTCTTGCATATTAAGGTTGGATATGCCATTATATTAAGACAATTACTGTGAAAATTGTGCTTGAAAGCCCTTTGAAAACAAAGTTCTTAAACGTCTATTGTAAAATTTTATCAAGTAACAAGTTTCAAAAATTCTTATCCATTAATGCATTTTTCCCCAGTGTGGCATCTTTCAAGGGAAGAAAATCCTATCATCACCACTAAATCCTTCTTTAAGTTCTCATTGATCATAGCCTTAGAACAAGATTATCAAAAGTAGTCCTACACTGAGATAATGTGTAAGAGATTTTGGAAAATCTCAACACTCCATTTTAGATTAAATCTTGTGGTTTCTCAGGTTCATGTTCCATTCTACTGATAAAGATGGATTATCAGTGTGTGCCGCTTAATTAAGGACAAACAATAACTATTGCTTCTTGTAGTTGTAGCGCAAATACCATAACCTTTCTCTTCTGTTCTAAAACCCCTATATTTCATCTATTTGTCATTTAGGTGAATAATACAGCTATTGTGCCTTCAAAGAATCAAATATTGACTTCGGAAGAAGCAATCTACCTAGAAGCAAGATTGTATTTTCTATCGTGATGGGATTTAAAATTTTGT